>NC_000007.14:152791713-152943228 GCF_000001405.40 Homo sapiens | reverse complement strand
GTCTTCCTAGAAAACCCTAAAGACTCCTCCAGAAAACTCCTAGAACTGATAAAAGAATTCAGCAAAGTTTCCAGTACGAAATTAATGTACACAAATTGGTAGCTTTTCTATACACCAACAGCAACCAAGCTGAGAATCAACTCAAAAACTCAACCCCCTTTAGAATAGTTGCAAAAAAAAAAAAAAAATTTAGAAGTGTACCTAACCAAGGAGGTAAAAGATCTCTACAAGAAAAACTATAAAACACTGCTGAAAGACATCATAGACAACACAAGCAAACGGAAACACATCCCATGCTCATGAATGGGTAGAATCAATACTGTGAAAATGACCATACTGCCAAAAGCAACCTACAAATTCAATGCAATTCCCATCAAAATACCTCCATTATTCTTCATAGAATTAGAAAAAACAATTCTAAAATTCATATGGAACCAAAAAAGAGCCCACATAGCTAAAGCAAGAGTAAGCAACAAAAACAAATCTGGAGGCATCACATTGCCCAATTTCAAACTATACTGTAAGGCCATAGTCACCAAAAGAGCATGGTACTGGTAAAAATAGGCACATAGACCAATGGAACAAAATAGAGAACCCAGAAATAAACCCAAATACTTACAGCCAACTGATCTTCGACAAAGCAAACAAAAACATAAAGTGGGCAAAGGACACCCTTTTCAACAAATGCTGATGGAATAATTGGCTAGCCACATGTAGAATGAAACTGGATTCCACATCTCTCACCTTATACAAAAATCAACTGAAGATGGATTAAGGACTTAAATCTAAGACCCGAAACTATAAAAATTCTAGAAGATAACATTGGAAAAACCATTTTAGACATTGGCTTAGGCAAAGATTTCATGATCAAGAACCCAAAAGCAAATGCAATGAAAACGAAGATAAATAGCTGGGACTTAATTAAACTAAAGAGCTTTTGCACGGCAAAAGGAACAGTCAGCAGAGTAAACAGAAAACCCACAGAGCGGAGGAAAATCTTCACAATCTATACATCTGACAAAGGACTAATATCCAGACTCTACAACAAACTCAAACAAATCAGTAAGAAAAAAAAAATCCCATCAAAATTGGGCTAAAGACATGAACAGACAAGCCTCAAAAGAAGGTATACAAATGGCCAACAAACATAGGAAAAAATGCTCAACATCACTAACGATCAGGGAAATGCAAATCAAAACCACAATGCAATGCCACCTTACTCCTGCAAGAATGGCCATAGTCAAAAAATCAAAAAATACTAGATTTTGGCATGGACGCAGTGAACAGGAAACACTTCTACACTGCTGGTGGGAATGCAAACTAGTTACAACCACTATGGAAAACAGTGTGGAGATTCCTTAAAGAACTAAAAGTAGATCTACCATTTGATGCAGCAATACCATTACTGGGTATCTACCCAGAGGAAAAGAAGTCATAATACAAAAAAAGATACTTACACAAGCATGTTTATAGCAGCACAATTCACAATTGCAAAAATGTGGAACTAACTCAAATGTCCATCAATCAACAAGTGGATAAAGAAACTGTCATATATATGTGCATATGATGGACTACTACTCAGCCATAGAAAGGAATGAATTAATGGCATTCACAGTAACCTGGATGAGATTAGAGACCATTATTCTAAGTGAAGTACTCAGGAATGGAAAACCAAACATCATGTGTTCTCACTCATAAGTGGGAGCTAAGCTATGAGAAACGCAGAGGTATAAGAATGACACAATGGACTTTGGGGACTCAGAGGGAAAGGGTGGGAAGGGGGTGAGGGATAAAAGATTACAAATAGGGTGCAGTATATATTGCTTGGGTGATGGGTGCACCAAAATCTCACAAATCACCACTAAAGAATATACCCATATAAAAAAACATCACCTGTTTGTTCCCCAATAACCTATGGAAATTTTAAAAAAAACACTAAAATGTCTTTCAATAGGTGAATGGGTAAACAAACTCTGGTACAGCCACACAGTAGAATATCCCTCAACAAGATAAAGGAGAAACTTTTGACACACATACAACAGCCTGGATGGATCTCAAGTGCACTACGCTTAGCAAAAAAAAAAAAAAAAAAAAAAAAAAGTCCATGGCAGTATGTAATGGGTTATGTACTATATAATTCCATTTATATAATATTCTAAAAATGACAAAAGCATAGAGATAGGGATGGGACTACTGGTTGCCAGAGGGACAGGGACAGGTGTTGAGGGGAATATGAGGGTCGCAGGAGGGAGCTTCTTTGTATTGATGGAACACTGATTTTGGTGAAGGGTCCATGAATCTATATGTGGGATAAAATCACACAGAACAATACACACGGACACACACAAATGAGTGCACATAAATAATGAAATCTGAACATGATCTGTTGTCTAGTGGCAATATTGTCCCTACATGGCTTTTCTGGTTTGGGTGCTGATCTATAATTAGATAAGATGTCAGCACTGGGGACAGCTGGGTGAAGGGTCTCCTTGCACTATTTTTGCAACTTTCATTAGTCTACAATTATTTCAAAATATCAAGTTAAAAAAGGATGCCTTCTGCCCAACTAAACTCATATAATCCAACTCTCTGCTTGACATTTCCATTTGGATATGTCAAAGGCCCCTCAAATTCAACAAATCTGGAAACCAAACCATCTCTGCTTCACTTGCTGTCCACCGGCCCCAAGCCTGGTCCTCCCAGCTCAGTGTCAATTCAATCCATTCTATCTAATGATGAAGACCAGAAACTCCACAGCTGTCCTTGACATCCCCTTGTCACATCCTCTTCCTGATATCTAACACATCATCAAGTCCTATTGATTTTAACCCCTAAATATCTCTAGACCCTGAGGGCTTTTTCCACTTCCACTGCCACCACCCTTGGCTGCCACCACCTCTCACGAGTATGACAGTAACAGCCGTTCAACGTGACCATCTCCATCCAGATGTCCTTATTCCAACTCATTCTGCAGAGAAGCAGTTTTCACAATGCAAATCCAAGCATGTCCACCTTCTGGTTTCAGTACTTCAGTCACTTCTAATTGCTCTTAGGATAAGGACAAACTGTTCCACACAGCCTTAGAAGTCCCAGAGGTCTAGCCCCTAAATATTTCTCCTTAATAGCCCCTAAATATTTCAGGGTGAGCATCCACTTACCCTGGCCCCACCAGCCCTGGCGCCCCCATCCAGTCAGCCTCCTTTGCTCCCTGGAATGCACTTTGCTCTCCTTGACAAGGCACCTCGGTGCCACCTGCTCCCTCTGTCAGAAGGTACCTCCCTTTTCTCCCCAACTGGTTGAGACCTGTTCTTCTTTCAGAACCCAGCTCAGTGGTCACTTCCCTGGGGAATCCCTCCATGACCACTGCAGCTGGACCAAATCCCCCATTCTTCTGTGGACCAGCGTTAAGTGCTAGTTTTTTGCATTGTTGTTTAATTAGGCGATGAATGTGTTCCCTCTCCCTCCTCCCCGGTCCATCTCTAACTACATGAACAGAAGCTGTGTCTTCGTCTCCCGTGGTGTACATTGCTAGCTGTGAGCCTGGCACCTACAGTCACGACATTGGGGCTTAATACTTATTTATTTTTAAAGAAGTCATAAGATAAATTCAAAATTGAGAGGTCCAGAGATATACGAAGTCCCCTTATGAGGATAGGTGAACTCTCAAGCAAGAGAATACCTTAACATACCTGAACAGATCCTGTCCTTAGAGAGAGGGTGAGAAGGGGCAGGCTCTACAGCACCAGAGTCATGGTGGCGGATGCTACTTCTCCTCACTTTTGTAAAGGGGAGAGAAGAGAAACCCCTGCTTCGTGAGATGGCTGCGTGGAATAATTGGTCCACACTCACTAGGGGCTTAGCCTGGAGGCTGAGTGTGGTCAGTGTTCTGTACATGTCAGCTTAGTTATTATCTTTCTAAACAAAACCACCCAATGAGATAATTAGGATAAGCATTCCTTACAGATGAGGAATCCAACGCAGGGCGATTAAATAATGTGCCCAAAACTACCCATAAATAAACGGCAGGATCAGCAGGAAACCATGCCGTCTGACTCTTTGTCCAGTGCTCTCTCCGCTTTCATCACCACCTGGTGTGGCCTCTAATTGTTGATGTGGGTCCTAAGATGCCTCCCCAGAATGACAAACAGCCTCCACCCTCGGTCTGGCCAGGACTTGCCTCCTCCCCATTCCTGTAGAGCTGTGCCACTTGCCCACAGCAGGTGTTCACTGGGAGGGAGGGAGGGAGGGAGGGAGGCAAGGAGGGAGGGAGGGAGGGAGTGAATGAATGAATGAATGAATGAACCAATGAGCACTTCAGGTGAAACTGAGATACGAAAACATCCACTGGGAGACTTCCCCTTCATCTCCCCACCCTGATCCAGTGGCTGTTCCTATTTGGGAATGTGGACTACTGTGATCAGATCATCTGATTCCAAGCCAGAAACCCAAAATTGTATATGCTAGCCCCTGAAATTTAAATGTTGGAACTAATTTTTTAAAGTTCTAGACATTTTTAAATGTGTGTACCGGCCAGGCACGGTGGCTTATGCCTCTAATCCCAGCACTTTGGGAGGTCAAGGCAGGCGGATCACTTGGCGCCAGGAGTTCAAGACTAGCTTGGCCAAGTGGTGAAAACCTGTCTCTACTAAAAACACAAAAATTAGCCAGGCGTGGTGGTGCAAGCCTATAATTCCAGCTACTCAGGAGGCTGAGGCAGAAGAATCACTTGAACCCAGGAGGCGGCGGTTGCAGTGAGCCAAGATAGTGCCACTGCACTGCAGCCTGGGCGACAAGAGTGCTACTCCATCTCCAATAAAAAATAATAAAAATAACAAAATGTGTGTACCAAACAAACATCATTGGATGGAACCTTATATCAAGAATTATGTCTACTTAACTAACCAGACTTCATTCCAACAGGTATCCCTTTTGATTTGTGAGATTCAAATAAAAACACCTCATTAATAATTAATAAATGTGCTACAAGTCCTGCTTTTGTTGCTTTCTATAATGTCCTATCTTCGCATTCCCCCACTCATTTCACCATTTTGCTCTCCAAGTCTCTACCAGAAAAGAAGATCCAAAAAGTGAGAAATATCCTGAAATATCGAAGCCCCAGGCCATCATGTGGGAGCTGTCGCCTAACTAGACATTGAAGGAAGGTCATGTTTGCTGAAAAGAAACAGCATGTCCATCGTATACTATAATCAGCTACAAATGTCTGTGTTTTCAAAGCGTAATCATTCTCACCCTGAGGAAATGGAAAAGTATCAAAATCTTGGAATCAGTGCCATCTTGCCTGGACTTTTTGCCTCTCAAATCAACTTCAGTAGGAGTGCCTGATGGTACCTGTAATGTTGACAGACTGGAAGGACAAAAGAAAAAAAAATCCTAGGCTAATTTTGAGCACCAGTGGAAAATATTTTTTGAAGTGAAAGGGGAATGTATTTAATAGGATGCTAAGAGACTATTAAACACAGAGGGGAAAAGATTTACTTTAAATAAGCTATGTATGTGACACCACAAAAGACCACTGCAACTCAGGAAAAAATGTAATGATTTCAATGGAGAGCCATTTAAGTACCTCTGCTCAGTTGAATCTTTGACTTCAGTTTCAGAACAAAGCCAAAATTATCTGACACTTCTTGTTCTTGAGTGAATTTCCCACAGCACTGTCCTGTGATTGGCTGGTCAGTACCAGGAACCAGGTTCCCACCGGGCTCAGTTCCAAAAGCTTCCTCACCCAGTACATAAGGGAGAAATGTTGGGAGGGGCTAAAGTCAGAAAGGAGTCCAGAAAATCCAATGACATAAAATGCTAAGACTGTGAAATGCCTGGGGGAGTCTATGCAGCCTGCCCAGGTCTCCCAGGAGATGGGGGTGTAGCTGCAAGATCCAAATGGGTATTGGTCCCAGCTGCAATTTGGTGTCATCTAAAGGCCATTGTCCTTTGGGGATTAAATATTAATAAGAACAGTTTTTGTTCCTGTGGTTGGCTGAGACTTCCAGGATCTCCCCATTTTAACTGCCCGATCTATAGAAAAGGAGTCACAAAAACGCTGGGGACATCGGGACTCACCACCATCTCTCCACTTCTTAGTGATACAAAAATTGCACCTGACAAAGTTAAACAGACAAGGAAGATTTTATTCAAGGCTATTGCAGTAGGGTAGAGAGGTCAGAGATGAGTCCGAACTCAACTCTGCTGAAACAAATGGCAGGAAAGTTTTTAAGAGCTGGCCAAGGAGGGACGGGCACAGTGGCTCATGCCTGTAACCCCAGTGCTTTGGGAGGCCAAGGCAGGCAGACAACTTGAGGACAGGAGATCAAAACCAGCCTGGCCAACATGGCAAAACTCCATCTCTACTAAAAATGCAAAAATTAGCCAGGCATGGTAGCAGGTGCCTGTAATCCCAGCTACTCGGGAGGCTGAGGCAAGAGAATTGCTTGAGCCCAGGAGGCAGATGTTGCAGTTAGCTGAGATCGTGCCACTGCATTCCAGCCTGGGCAACAGACTGAGACTCTTTCTCAAAAAAAAAAAAACAAAGCCAGGTGCACGTGTAGTGGTGCATGCCTGTAGTCCCAGCTACTTGGGAGGCTGAGGCAGGAGAATCGCTTGAGCCCAGGAGGCAGATGTTGCAGTTAGCCAAGATCGTGCCATTGCACTCCAGCCTGGGCAACAGACCGAGACTCTGTCTCAAAAAAAAAAAGCCAGGTGCAGGTGTAGTGGTACATGCCTGTAGTCCCAGCTACTCGGGAGGCTGAGGCAGGAGAATCACTTGAACCCGGGAGGCATATGTTGCAGTGAGCTGAGATTGCACCACTACACTCCAGCCTGAGTGACAGAGATTCTGTCTAAAAAAAAAAAAAAAAAGAAAAAAGAGTTGGACAAGGGGAAGACCCGGGCCATCTGTGTTTGCTAATCACCTTTACTCTAAGGGAAAGGAAACTCTCATATCCTCATGACAGTTAGTAGTTTACAACTTGGAGCAAGGTACCTGCAGAAGTTAGACTCCCACCTTCCCAGGGAAACTAAAGATAGGAATGCTATCTTCTCCTACAATCACATGTCAAAGGGATGGCTCCCAGGTCCTGGAGAAAGGCATTCCTGGGTTGTAAAACTGACAAGAGGCTCAAATGGGCAGACGGACAATTTACAAGTTTTCTAAAGTAAATGCTGTAAGAAAGGGAAGTCAGGGACCAAGAGTCAGGGAGAAGCCTGTTTGAAGTTCAGTGCCGCTGAGGAGGCATTGGTCACCTCAGTCCCCTCCGCTCTCCCAAGCTCAGTACACCTCTTGGGAGAACAGCCTGAGCAACAGCTAGTTGCATTATACCCAATGCGCACCATCATGAGGGACACTACCACAGGGCAGGGCTTTATTTGTTTCTCTTGTATTTGTCAGCAGAGCTGATCTAATGTGAAAGGATTTGGAAGTGAGCGAATAATTTTTCCTGAGGTCTCTTTTCTCATGGACTTTTTCTCTGAGGTCTGGCACAGTTTTAGGCTGGGTGGGGTGAGACAGTCACCTGCTATGATAATGCCTCAGACATATACCCAAGAAGATGTGAGTCCTTCCTTCTAGGACACACTCCACTGCAATTTCTGCTGCTATATGTTTTAGTCTTCTCTCAATTTAAGCAACTGTGATGTGTTTTGAATCACTTTCCTGTGAATATTTATCTGTAGCTTTGCTTATCATACGCCCCCTGGCCAATGCCTAAGATGCTCCTCCCGTGTTTGCTTTAACTCATCTTCCAAGGCCCACCTCCAGTTCCACCATAATCCAGCAGACTCCCATGGCCTTATCTACTCATCATCGGTTCCAGTCTCTCTTTCAAAATGGGCTCACTCTCCACCCTTCCGCCTCCCGTAACAGGTGATCTGCAGGTAAAAGGACAGAGACAAGAAGAGAGCATATGAAAGTATTGAGCAGAAAGTACAGATGAGGTCACATGAGTAGACAGTAGTCATGACAAAGCCAGCATCCAAGTCCTGTGTCAGATTGCACAAGCCCCGCACACCCCAACTCAGGACACAGCAACCCGGGGGTCAGGTGTGCCTCTCCACAGAGCCAAGCTCACCAGTGCTTGTCCAGCCCCAGATTTTGCTTTTCCTATTTTGTGGCTGGGCGCTCAAGCTTTGCTCCTTGCAGCAGGAATGAAGCTGTGTCATCAGGGCACCAGGACACCTCACCAGAGCTCTCAGAGGGCAGCTTCAGAGAGCCCTGAGACCAAGTCAGAGGGACCAAAATGCTCAGGGAACAGTCTCCACTTACCATGGTCCCGGGGCACGAGCTCCTCTAGGCCAGTTGCACAGCATGCCTGGGGAGAGGGTCAAGGCGGGGGCAACCCAAGGGGTGTGTGTGCGCATGTGTGTCCCCGGGGATGGGTGTGTGCATGTTATCATGCATGGGTGCATGTGTACGAGTGTGTCAATGTGGGGGGTTGTCCTGAGTATGTGTGTGCATGCCATATGTATGCAAAGGTGTGTGCATGTGTGCATATGGGAGGTATGTGCACACATGTAGAGGTGCTTGGGGGGGTGTGTGTGCGCACACGTGGAGACAGGAATATGCATGCATGTTTGTGGTCAGAAAGAAAGAAGAGGTAGACATTTAGAAACGCTTATTTTGGCCAGGAAACAATTGTCTGAAACCAATTTGGCCAAAAGCAAATTGGCCAATGTGATCTTTTTTTTTCAAAAATTAATATTCCCAGTCTCAAGTTTTTCAAGTTTCTTTGCCTTCATTCCTCCAAAAGTGGAGCTCAAGACAAAACTTACACACAGTTTATTTGGGATGTGACCTTGGGGGTGCAGGAGTGGAGAATCAAGAAGAAAGACCAATACTAGGACTGCTGAGAATTGACCCGAGCTCTGCCTCATGCTCCATCCTGCTGGAGGCTTCCGAGGAGCAGCTCAGAACGTGCTACAAAGTTGCCCACCTGAGAAGTGAAAGGCAGAAGTACTTATCCATAAACTCCACTTACCATGGCCCTGGGGAGTGAGCTCCCCTAGGCCAGTTGCACAGATATGAGTGCTTTCGGCAGCACCACAATGTCGGGGGAAGGTCCCTGGGCAGGAAGCCAGGGCCACAGTTGACACTTCAGGTGAGGCATTGTCAGAACAAAGCAGGAAAACCTGTTTGCCACAGCCGTTTTCCACCACCAGGGATGGACTCAGAGGCCGGGCCTGGGGATGGGAGGTGGTGGCCCAAGGTGCCTGATACAGCAGATGGTAAATCTTGCAACCCTTTACATGGAAAGGCATAGATGTGTCGATGAAGAGAAAGTCTGTCAAACACTTGAAGAGATTTATTCTGAGCCAAATATGGGTGACCAATGGCCCACGAAACAGCCCGCAGGAGATTGTGAGAACATGTGCCCAAGATGGTTGGGGCACAGCTTGGTTTTCTATGTTTTAGGGTGACAAGACACAACAATCAATACACGAAAGATGCACATCGGTTTGGTCTCAAAAGGTGGGACAACCAGAAGCTGGGCTTCCAGGTCACAGGCAGAATCAAAGATTTTCTGACAACTGGTTGAAAGAGTTATTATCTAAAGGCCTAGAATCAATAGAAAGGAATGTGTGGGTTATGACAAGGGGTTGTGGAGACCAAGGTTTTATCATGCAGATGAAGCCTCCAGGTAGCAGGCTTCAGAGAGAATAGACGGTAAATGTTTCTTATCAGACTTAAAGAGTCCATCAGTCTTAAGGTCTGTGTTGATGTTAATGCTGGTCAGCTGGGCCTCGATTTCAAAAGGCGGGAGGGTATTAATGAAGCAGGCCTGACTCTTCCTTCACATCATGGCCTGAATTAGTTTTTCAGGTTAACTTTGGAATCCCCTTGACCAAGAAGGAGAGCCCATTCAGATGGTTGGGGGTTCTTAGGATTTTATTAGTTCCTGCTGGTAACACTTTATGCACACACAGCCCAAGTGACTCCCATAGAAGCAGGACAAAGAGAACCATTATCTAAAAAGTAACACACCCACCAAACGATTTTCTTACTGCCTTCTGCACAGCAGGGACTGCGGTTGCCTCCTCTCCTCCCAAAGGCACTTCTGTGGTTGAAATGAAATAGAAGCAATTAAACAAATACAAATTACTGGCTCTTCGGGAGCTCCAGGGGTACACAGCAAAGCAAATAGGACCCTGGCCAGATGAGGGGAGCACCAGGAGATGGTGCAACGAAGCTCAACAGGGCACAGGCTGGAGAAGAGGTGTACTTGCCCACTGCTGAGTCCTGCTAGTGCACCATGGTGGTTTGGTACATTTCCACCCTCCAGAGGGAGGACCTTGGTGGGGCAGGCTCCAAGAGCCTCACTGCCTCATCTGTGTGAACACGTAGCCTGTAGGTAGGAGATGTGGTAGGGAAATAGAAATGAAATTTGCCTAGAAGATGGCATAGTGTAGGGTAGAAAGACACAACATACACACACACACACACACACACACACAAATATTTTGCCTCAGAAACTGTATTAAGTGTGAAAACACTGTTAACACTGTCCATAAAAGAGATCAGGATGCTTTCCAAGTCAGACTAACAATGGCCTCTTACTGTGTGATTGGAGAAGAGGAAATTATTACAAGCTTTTTTTCTATTAATTCTTCTACATAATATAATTGATAACACATCAAGCTTTTCCTTTAAAACATTCATCTTATCCATGTGCTTCATAGTAAGATATTCTTAGCCTGCTCAACTTTGGCTCACAGCAAAGCAATTATTTATTTTAACATTTGCATTTAAACCAAATGGTCTTAAAATTCATCAAGGCAAGATCTCCAATATCACAAAACTGAGGGCAATGCTATCTCAGCCCAGCTCTGTGAAGCAATCTGTCCTCCAAATAATGAGACAGTCTATGATCAGCACAAATTATAGCTGACTTTATTGTATGTTTCCATTTAGATATGATTGTAACACCATTAATGAAAAAATATCTAGCAGTTGGCTTTCTATCAACCATGAAGTCAACCTCAAGCAATTGTGAACCAAGAAAATTCCCTTTGCTCTAAGGACACTGTGTCCATTTTATTAGATCAAATGGTTTTTGGACCTCTAAATAAGGCAGCAATGTTCACTTTTGACAACATTGCTCACACAATGCAATGTGCACGGGGCCTGTAGCACCAGATAGCTTCGGTTGCAAAAGGTCCTCCTTCTCTTTCAGTAAAGCAACTGTTTCTTAAAGCAGCCAGAGCCCAAGAGCTCTTTACATTCAAGGGAACACTCCCTGGGTGAACTTCAATTAGTGGTGAAATATAATCCCGGATAAGTCAACGAGGATGACAGTTTATTCTTGTAGGACTTGAATCAATACCCCTGGAGCTCCCGAAGAGCCAGTAATTCGTATTTATTGTTTAATTGCTTCTATTTCATTTCAACCACAGAAGCACCTTTGGGAGGAGGGGAGGCAACCGCAGGCCCTGCTGTGCAGAAGGCCGTAGGAAAATCATTTGGTGGGTGTGCTACTTTGTCAGATAATGGTTCTCTCTGTCCTGCTTCTATGGGAGTCACCTGGGCTGTGTGTGCATAAAGTGTTACCAGCAGGAACTCATTATTGTCTTTAAACTACACACTGGCTTCAGCAGCTTTTGTTTTGCCTCCAGCACACTAGAATAGACCAGGGAGAACAAGATAAAGGTACTTCACGAAGACCACTAACCACTAATGTTGTTTTTATGTGCTGGGTCACTGTTACAAAACCCGAAATGAAGATATGTACTTGGGCATAACAAGCCCTGAGGTCAGCCTCACACTGACCTCGTGCAATCCAGGAGGCTCCAGGCTGTTGGAGTTCCTGCTTCCTGGAAGGATCCTTATGACCTATTTCCACATAAACTCATAGACCTGCAAGACAGCTTGGTGATCATCAGACTTTCTCAGTGTAGAAATGGGGAAGCCACCCAGATCATGATGGCAGGACACAACTCCTAGAAGCCAAATGTTCTGAATTCCCATGCTGGGCTCTTTTTCCTAGGACCAGGGTTTGAGAATTAAGCTCTCATTTCTCAGACACTACTTATTCGGAATGGGCATCCATTGAGGTTAAGGTCTTGGTATGATTTGGTTTTGTGTCCCCACTAAATCTCATGTCAAATTGTATCCCCAGTGTTGGAGTTGGGACCTGGTGAAAGGTGACTGGATCATGGGGGTGGTCCTTCATGAATTATTTAGGACCATCCCCTTGGTGCTGTTCTTGTGATGGTGAGTGGGTACTCGTTAACGAGATCTGGTTGTTTAAAAGGGTATCACACCTCCCCCCACCGCCCCCCCCCCACATAAGATGTGCCTACTTCCCCTTCACCTTCTGCCATGACTGTAAGTTTCCTGTGGCCTCCCCAGAAGCAGAAGCCACTATGCTTCCTGTACAGCCTGCAGAACCGTGAGCCAATTAAAACTCTTTTATTTATAACTTACCCAGATCGCTTCTCGGCCTTTTGGCTAAGATCAAGTGTATAACTTACCCAGTCTCAGGTATTTCTTTATGACAGTGCAAGAACAGACTAATACATGTCTGGATGCTAAAAAAAAAAAAAAAAAAAAATCCCAAAATCAATTTTTAGATTAAATATAAAACTTAGCTCTGAATTTCCTGTGAGTTGTAAGTATTATATAAGTAAATATAAAAGAAATGTTTGCTAAAATTAGAACTATCATACAGTCCAACAATCCCACCACTGGGTATTAATCCAAAGGAAAAGAAATCAGTAGATGGCAGGGATACCCATACTGACATGTTTATCATAGCACTAGTCCCAACAGCAAAGATGTGGAAGCCACCTACGTGTCCATCCACAGATGAATGGATAAAGAAAATGCGGTACTTATACGCAATGGAATCCTGCTTGGCCATAAGGAAGAATGACATCATGTCATTTGCAGCAACGTGGATGGAACTGAAGGCCGTTATCTTAAATAAGCCAAGCACAGAAAGACAAATATCACATGTTCTCACTCATGGGAGCTAAAAGGAACTTGACCTTATGGACATGTAACATAGAATGATGGATACCAGAGACTGGGAAGGTTGTGAGAGGTGATGGAGGAGGAAGAAAGGATAGTCATGGGTATAAATGGACAGATAGAAGAAGTTAAGTTCTAATGTTTGATAGCAGACTAGGGTGACTGTACTCAGAAACAATATTATATGTATATTTCAAAGTAACTAGAAGAGAGGACTTAAAATGTTACCAACACATTAAAATGATGAACACTCAAGGTGATTGATATGGTTAGGATCCATGTCCCCACCCAAATCTCATGTTGAAATATAATCTCCAATGTTGGAGGTAAGGCCTGGTGGAAGGTGTATTGGTCCATTTTCATGCTGCTGATAAAAACATACCCGAGACTGGGAAGAAAAAGAGGTTTAGTGGACTTACAGTTCCACATGGCTGGGGATGCCTCACAATCATGGCGGAAGGCAAGGAGGAGCAAGTCATGTCTTACATGCATGGTGGCAGGCAAAAAGAACTTGAGCAGGAAAACTCCCATTTTTAAAACCATCAGATCTCATGAGACATATTCACTATCACGAGAACAACATGGGAAAGACCTGCCCCCATGATTCAATTACCTCCCACTGGGTTCCTCTCACGACACATGGGAATTGTGGGAGTTACAATTCAAGATTAGATTTGGGTGGGAACACAATCAAACCATATCAGGAAGTGACTGAATCATGGGGGTGGATTTCTCATGGATGGCTTAGCACCATTCTCTTGGTGCTGTTCTTGTGACACTGAGTAAATTGTCATGAGATCTGGTTGTTTACGTGTGTAGCACCTCCCTCTTCTCTCTCTCCTTCTCTATTTGTAGTGCTGCTCCCCGTTCGCCTTCCACCACGACCATAACTTTCCTGAGGTCTCCCCAAAGCCCAGCAGATGCCAGCATCGTGCATCTGGTATAGCCTGCAAAACTGTGAGTCAATTATACCTTTCTTCTTTATAAATTATTCAGTCTCAAGTATTTCCTTATAGCAGTGTGAGAATGGACTAATACAGTGATGGGTACCCCAAATATTTAACTTGATCATTACACATTCTATGCATGTAACGAACACACAAACTCCACAAATATGTAAAGGAGAAAACAGAAATAGGTTTGCTAACAGTGTGAACAGATTGCAGTTTACTGAATTTAATAGAACAATTTTTTAATACAGAGGAATTGTTAACATACAATAAACCAAAATCAAATATAAACCCTTGTGAATCCATTCATTCATTAAAACAGAACCTTGGAGTTTGCACGATGAATACACAACACATTGCTAATCTCACTAGTGTTTTGTGTAAACACGAAGGTGACAACGGTTTGAATGAATACTATCACTCAGACTTGGCACAGATTCCTTCTGGCCTTGCCCCCATTCGCCTGAGTAATGAGTCTCAGCTGTATTTACATATACTTCTACCTATAATCACCCTCCTTACAAAAGATAGGTTAGCTCAGACATGCCCACACTTGGAAAAAGTTGAAAACATTATCGAGGCCTGTAACTAATTCAAGAAAACAAGGCTATCACAAAGCTATATATGTGTGTGAATCAAAAGTGGAGGTGGGAGAGTAAGTGCTTTCAGTTTCAGAGGCAGCACCAGTCACTCAGGCCCACTATAAAAGGGGAAACCTTCACATAGGATGGAAGAATTTGAAGAAAATGGGAGAGCTTTAATAGCAGAAAAGAATGAAGAAAGCACCCCAGGTAAGGACACAGACAAAAAGATTAAAAGCCATATTTAGGCAAGATACAATGATTTGGCTAGATCAGAATGTTCACATAAGTAACAGGACTTATAAAAAAAAAAAAAAAAAAAACTTTGTGGTGCCTTTTAAAAAAAGGCATGAGGCAAGGCGCAGTGGCTCACGCCTGTAATCCATGGGGTGGACCATGAGGTTAACAGATCAAGACCATCCTGGCCAACATAGTGAAACCCCGTCTCTACTAAAAATGCAAAAATTAGCTGGGCATGGTGGCACACACCTGTAGTCCCAGCTACTCGGGAGGCTGAGGTAGGAGAATCGCTTGAACCTCGGAGGCAGAGGTTGCAGTGAGCTGAGATCGCACCACTGCACTCCAGCCTGGCAACAGAGCAAGACTCCGTCAAAAAAAAAAAAAAAAAAAGACACGGGACATGAACGCAGTGAAAAATCACTAAAATATGAGTAAAATGGCAAGTCTACTCAATGAAGAAGAAAGAAAAAAATCACTTCACCAGAAAACTTAGACTTAGTAATTCGATTTAAATTGTGGTGACAATGACAGGAGTCACCAGTATATACATATGTCCAAACTCAAACTCACCACGTCATCTACATTAATTATATGCATGTTTTTTGTGTACCCACTACTCAATAAAGCTGGGGGTGGTGGGGAGAGAAGCACCTATAGGAATTCAGATTTATCAAGATGAATTAGCAAGACACTAGCGACTTTATAAAAGGTTTTTTAATTGACAAATTGAATACAATTATGATGTACAACATCACGTTTTGATACATTATGGAATGGTTAAATAAAGCTATCTAATGTATGCATTACTATATATATATATATATATATATATATATATATATATATATATATATATATATATACACACATTTTTTTCTTTTTTTTTTTTTGAGACGGAGTCTCGCTCTGTCGGCCAGGCTGGAGTGCAATGGCACAAGCTCGGTTCACTGCAACTTCTGCCTCACAAGTTCAAGCAATTCTCCCACCTCAGCCTCCCAAGTAGCTGGGATAACAGGCATGTGCCACCACACCTGGCTAACTTTTGTATTTTTAGCAGAGACGGGGTTTGGCCATGTTGGCCAGGCTGGTCTCGAACTCTTGACCTCAAGTGAGCCACCCACCTCAGCCTTCCACAGCTGCTGGGATTATAGGCGTGAGCCACCACACCCAGCCTCACATACTTACATTTTTTTGTGTGGTGAGAACGTTTCAAAACCTACTCTCTCAGCAATTTTCAAGTACACAATTCATTACTATTAATGAATAGCTGTCACCATGCTGAACAATCGATTTCCTGAGCCTATTCCTCCTAACTGAAATTCTGTATTCTTACAAAAGGTTTAAAAATAAAAGTTCTTTAAATATCAACGAAAAATAAAAATAAATTTAAAAATTAAAATGAGGTAGATGTCTAACTGACATAAAATACATTAGTAGTATATGAAAAAGCAATTTACAAACCATCATATACCATATAAGCCATGTATGCATTGAATATTACTAGAAAAAAAGTCAAGCCCATACATGGAAGTATTTACGTGGCTGGCCATCTGTATAGTGGTATGTCAGAACTTTTTACTTTTTTTAATTATTATTATTTGAGACAGGGTCTCACTCTGTCACCCAGGCTGGAGTGCAGTGGTGTGATCCCACTCGGCTCACTGCAACCTCCACCTCCCAGGTTCAAGGGATTCTCCTACCTCAGCCTCCCTCAGCCTGGGATTACAGGTGTGCACCATCACACCTAGCTAATTTTTGTTTTCTGTTTGTTTGTTTGTTTGTTTGTTTGGTAGAGAAGGTGTTTCACCACGTTGACCAGGCTGGTCTGGAACTCCTGACCTCAAGTGATCCGCCAGCCTCGGCCTCCCAAAGTGCTGGGATTACAGGTGTGAGCCGCCGTGCCCGGCCTTTACTTTCTTTAAATAACTTTTGTGAATGTTCAGAAATTCCACACAGTGAGCAGCTATTTGTTCCCAAATCAGCTATACGTATATACATACATATATGTACACACACACACATATGTATATACATATACGTATATATGTATATATATAAAGTTCCCAAATCAGTTCGCTTGCTGTCTCTATATATATACACATATTAAAAAAAGATAATTTTGTTTTTAATTAAAATTAAATTGCAAAATTAAATTGCAAAATTTAGCTCTGAGTTTCCTGCCGAGCTAAATGTCTCCCTTTACAGTTTTACTGCAAGGACAGGAAATTGGGCGGACAGTTGGCACCTTGCTCACCAGGCTGCGGGTCGGGTGCCACCTGCCAGCTCTTCCCAGCCGCACGTCCCTCCCTGCCGGGGCGCCCCCAAGCTGCTCGGCTTCTCTTCCCCGCGAGGGTCTCCCGGCGGGTCCGGGGGCTGTTCCCACCCACGTCCGCGTGGCGCCGCCGCCCAGTGGGGCCGCTGGACGCTCTGGCCGGGTAGCGCAGAGCCTAGACCCGGCCCCTAGTCCACCATGGGGATGGACTCGTGCGGAGTGCGGGAAAATCGCCCACTGTGGGGCTGCCCGGGAGGGGGACGTTGGGGCAAGAGGGGGCTCAGGAACGTCTGAAGAATGCGGAGCCCGGTCCTCGATTGGCCACAGCCTGCGGGAACCATGCGGCCCCCAGCGCCGGGGATGGAGCTGCCTCTGCGGACCCCGAGCCCCCACTCCCTGCTGGGGCCTCCGCCATCTCCAGCTGCGCCCACAGCTCCGCGGGCCTCCGGGTCTTTGCGTCGGAATCTCCAGCCCTGGGCGGCTCCTTCCAAAAGCCCCGCGGATCGCGCTCTGGGATCTGTTTTGATTCCACACCTGGGGAATCACCGCAGGGGCTCAGGCCGCGCCCCTACTCGCCTGGCCCGGCCTTGGCGAAGGGGGCAGAGATCAGCGACATCCTTCAGGCCGGCAGGCATTCACGAAGCGTCCCCTCTGCGCGCTCTCCAGAGACCCCGCCCCGAGGCGAGCGGCCCCTGGCCTGGGTCCCTCCCCCGCGCGCGCCCGGCCCCTCGGCCCTGCGATCCCCGCCGTCCCCCAGCAGAGGCCGCGCCCAAGAGAACGGCGGCCTCCACCGTTCCCTCTTCCCGGAACAGAAGCCGCCTCTCCCCTCTCCCTGAGACGCCGTGTGGCGCCCCCCACCCACCTCACTGTAGGGGAGGCTCCCGCCACCGGCCTCCCAGGCCCAGGGCAAGCCCCATGAACCACGCGGGACAGGAAACCGGGTTGTGAGCGTCCTTAGCCCAAAATGCCTTCTGTTCTAGAATCAAGGGGAGGGCGTCCCAGCTTATCAGAGTTGGCCCCTAAAACCAGCACGTCATATGAAAATCACCAATTGCCAAATGACTAAAATCCCTGAAAGGATTTCCCTCTTCCACATCCACAAACCATCCCCAGAAAATGCACCACAGCCCCTTGCCCTGAGAACTCGAGGAAGGCGGGCGCTGGCAGCCAAGTCAGGTGAATGCGGCTCCGGAGTCCCTTTGGCTGGGGGAAAACGGGATCTCACCTCAAGGGGGACGGGAATTAGGACGTCTGGGCCCGGAAGAGGGAATCGGTGTCCGTGAGTCCTCAGGATATCCACGCATGCTGGAGGAACGCTTCCACATTTGGACGCCCCCACCCAGCGGCCTCCGTGGCACACACCGCAGGGCGGGCGGCGAAGAAGTCCCTCCTGTTTTACTCTTGTCTGAAGGGTTCCCATCTGAGAGTGGGAATCCCAGCCACTCTGGAACCGCGTTCACCTGGAATTTAACCTTGTCTCTAACGGTCTCAGAAATTAAACTAAATGTTTGCCAGGCCCTCACCTGCACCATATCTGAATCTGACAAGCTACAGGTCGCCAGCCTTTCGGTTGCACGCAGCTTGCAGGTGTGAGCTCCCCCACTCTGCCCAGGGTCCACCTTACTCTGGGTTTTACAGTCTCCCCCCAAGTTCTGCTTTCCCTCGCCCGGGGTTACATGCAGAAAGGGAGAGCTCTTCCAGAGGGTAGAGACTCATCCATCCCAGGCTGGAAACCCCCAGGGGCCCTGGCACCTGCAAGATGCTGAGTCTTGCATGGGAAGCAGCAGGGCCTGTGAACCGCTCACTGACGTCACACCCCTGAGCCTGGTGTTGGAGACCAAAGAATTACCACTATGTTGATGCCACAAACAATAGCTGTTTGTTAGAGGACATTGCTTGGGAATTGTTGCAAGATAGTCTTGCTGCCGTTAGTCTTCCAAAACTCATATAGGTCATTTATCAATTAAATAATTTGCCCATGTGGACTGATCTCATCTGTCACGCTGTAGCAAGCTTTTGGGATTCTGAGCTGTCTCCCACTTGCACACATTTATGATTGTGTAATTCTGGTCCTGGGATGTGGGTGCTTCTTCCTATCTCTGAAGCTCTGGCTAAGCTTTGGGTGAAGGGGAGTTGAAAATGCACGAAAAGACGCACACACACTCAAGCTTCACCAAGCACCAGCCTTGTGCGGCATGCCGCGCCTGGCAGCACCAAACAGCTCCTGGGGACTGGCTGCTGCCACACACCCCGACGTGGCGGCTGGAGGAGCTGCTGGGATGGACCCACAACTCACATCACTCCCGTTAGGGTCATTCCAGTCACTGATGAAAGGGGAGACGGCCCAATGCAAAAGACCACAATTCCTCATCTCCAGCCTGCCCGCTCCTGGGAATGGGTGAGAGCTCACAAGCACCTGGGCATGAGCATGCAAGAGTCAGTCACAGAGCACAGGATGGGGGCCTGGGAGGCCTGCGGGCAGCCCAGTCTCCACAGATGAGGACCCAGCTGCAGAAAGTCCAACTCCTGCCCTCCTCCCACAATCAGGCAACAAAAGGTGGGAGTGTAAGGCCCAGGGCGCTTTGCAGAGTGCCTCGAGGGACTCCAGTTGTCAATGTCTGTGAATGCACAAGCCTGGCCCAAGGACATTCAATAAATACAGGTACTCACCCAGGTGACATAACAGCAGAGATACCCAAGAGGACTCGTGCTACCTCCCCCAGAGCCTGGAGCATAAAGAACACGCTAGAAAGCCCTAACTGACCTCCTTCTCATTCTGTGTCCAAAGCTACAGCCTCCCCACATCCTCACAACACTAAGCCACTAAGAGCCGCTCTACTCGGCCTTTATCGGCCCCAAAGCTCTAAAACCAGACAGAATCTTTAATATTGCCCAGCTCAACATTTCAATTTAGTAACCTTCTCTGATGCCAGCAAACAACAATAAAACTCAGAGGTCAGCTTAGGGTTGGCAGCAGGTGAGTTATAAGCCAGCGTTGGAGGGAGGGAAATAGGTAGGTCTATGCCCTCTGAGACCTTTCTAGACATTGCTGAGCTTTTACTCACCTGCAGCCTCAGCAGTACAAGGCATTGAGCGGGCAGAACCAGAGGCAAACGGCCTGGGCTCGAATCGCCCGGTGGGGAACAGCAGTCTTTGCGAGCCATCACCTCCCCTCCCTCCTCTCAAATAAATCTGATTCACATCGAGTCATTCACAGATTCACTGAATTTATCTCCCCAGCTAGATTGCAGAGAAGGGGTGGTGTTTGCTCCAGATAGAGTATGTTGAGTTGATACAGCTGGACCAGCTGTAAGGAATGGCCCTAATTGATACCCACGGGGTAGACAGGATGGAGCAGAGTCAGAATGCTTTGCAGGGGACCTATCAACCACCACCCTCCCTGGTAACCTGATTATTTGAAATTGCATGGAGCAGAAAGAGGAGTAGAGTTTGCCAAATTGTGTTTTCCAGAAATCAGTTTTGCAGGATATCAATTGTAGTAATGGGGGGGGGGAAAGGGTGTCATAATTTGGGAAATGCAGGGTTTGTGGTGCTGGTTATCATCGTTAAGTGGAGGCTTCTGAAAGCTGTTAAGATACAAATGTGCATTGTGAAGCTCCATTAAGCAGGCAGCACCCCTCCCACGGCCTCTGCGGCTGCTGCTCTGACCTGCGGCACTGCGGTGGCCCCACACTGGCCCCTCGCCTGACCTGACCGTGGCCTGCTCTCTTCCACCACCACACCAGCCCGAATGATGCTGTCCGATCAGAAGCGCAATGAACTCACCTTTCTGTTCAAACCCTCCAGAAGCTTCTCAAGCCACTTGAGAACAGAGCTAAAAGCTTTACCTTGGCCTGGAACACCTGCACACGTTGCCCTCCCTCTTCCTTTTTTTTTTTTTTTTTTTTTTTTGTTGTTGTTGTTGTTGTTGTTGTCGTTGTTGCTGAGACAAAGTCTCACTGTATTGCCCAGGCTGGTCTCAAACTCCTGGGGTCAAGTGATCTGCCCGCCTCAGCCTCCCAACGTGCTGGGATTACAGGTGTGAGCCATTGCACCTGGCCCCTCCCTCTTCCTCTTGCTGTTTCTCAAACCCCCAGGTTGATTTGTCCACCAGGTCCTTTGTCCCGTCCCTCAACCTGGATGCTCATCCCCACGTTGCCCAACTGCTCATCCCTCACCTGCGTCAGCACTTCCCCAAGAACCCCCTGTGCAAACTAGCACTGTCTCCATGCTCCATCTCCCACCATGCTTTCTTTTTCTTCTTCATGCCAACTACTGCTTAATAGAACACGATCTGTCTCTCTCCATGAGAATGTGAGCCCCACCAGATCAAGGTCTTGTTCTTGTCCACGTTGTTATTTCCAGCACCTACCAGTGCACATATTAGGGATTCAATCAATGTATATTTGACAACAGCGTCCATATCACAGGTTCTTTCAGAAGGCTGGCATTCCATTTCCACTCTTCCTGGAAGTTAGAAAAATCTTAGCTCTTGCCCCTGCCATGCTAACCCCTGTGTAGCTTTGGGTAAGTGACTGCACCTCTCTATAAAGTCAGAGGGTTGGGCTCAATCCGGAGTCACCAGCTGAATGTCCTCAGGGGCCAGCAAGGAATGACACTGTGTGATGTAGACAAGGGGTCAGACAAGAGGGAGTGGTAGAGACTGGGGTAAACTGGAGAGTCTACATGAACACCTAAAAATATTTAAAAATGTTAAAGGGCAGCCTACAAGAAATACTTCTGCAGCCCACAAATCAGCAATGCTACGGCCACACAGTCTCTAAAGCTCACTTTACATAAAACTTCTCACTTCCAAGATTTCCATGAACTGGGACAAATCATTCCCTCAAAGAAATCTGATTTCATTTGGTTGTCTGCAATATAATTTATTGTAGGGTACAGGTTTCAGGGATCCCCAAAGTAGCTGGAGAAATAGGCACAGAGGTCCTTCTAGGGATCTCAGCCAAAGGATTCTATGCCCTTCAGCCTAGTGACTCCCATTAATGAGACGAGCTACCATGCAAGCACAGACTTCTCCTCTGTTCCTCCACTCTTGGCTCAGTCTCTAAGTGCCTGCTTTCAAATTCCTATGGGAGGATCCTTTGGGCCTATCTCAGAGCCAGCTCCAGAGCAGCAATGATCCAAGAAGGGCCAGGACATGAAGTCCAATCCTAGCCATATGAGCACACTTATTAATTAGACAGCGTGATATAGTTTGGCTGTGTCCCCACCCAAATCTCATCTTGAATTGTAGCTCCTTAATTCCCCTGTGGTGTGGGAGGGACCTGGTGGGAGATAATTGAGTCACGGGGGCGGTTTCCCCCATACTGTTCTTGTGGTAGTGAATAAGTCTCACGAGATCTTCTGGTTTTATAAGGGGAAATCCCTTTCACTTGGTTCTCATTCTCTTGCCTGCCGCCATGTAAGATGTGCCTTTCACCTTCGGCCATGATTGTGAGGCCTCCCCAGCCACGTGGAACTGTGAGTCCATTAAACCTCTTTTCCTTTATAATTACCCAGTCTTGGGTATGCCTACATCAGCAGCGTGAAAACAGACTAATACACAGTGGATGGGGGTGAGCAACAGAACTTCCCAATACAAGATCAAACTGGACAGTTTCAAGTTTCTGAGTTATATTTTCTCTGGACATTTCTGGTTTTCCATCTTTCTATTGGCACCCTCAGGCTGTAGTTCCTGCTTTCTTCCCCTCCTAGCTCGAAGATGGGGTCTTTCCTGGTGCCACTCTGGTGGGCATGGCTTCCCACCAGCACCCGAGGGGCTGCCTGCCTCTGTCTGGCTGGCATTTTTCTGTTGGGTGGGAAGGGAGCCTTGGCCACTGAGCACATGGATACAGCGTTCTCCTGTGACCAGCAGTTTTGCCTCCTTGTCATTCATTCTCAGCACATATGAGATGTCATGGGACTTTATGAGTGCTAAATCAGTTTTATTGGCCATATGATTTGATTGATCTTGTTAGACCTGACAAGAAATCAATTGGAAAAAAATATATGTACCTTCCCGGAATGTGCTCTCCACTTTAAGGTAAAAGAACAATCTAACACTCAAAGAGGAAGATCCAAGAAGCAGCCTTGGTAAAATATCACCATCCTTGTGGCCTGGAAAGAGGCTACTTTATGACCTCCAGAACCCAGAAGGAAATGAGGAGGGAGGCAGATGAAGGGGACTCCATAAATTTAGGAATGTCACCTGCAGAAGGCCCTGAAAGCTCAGAAAACAGGAGCTGCACTGTGCCCAGATGTTCTCCAGGCTCCTACCACAAACACCAGAGACAATGGCATAGCCATGGAAGTCACAGGAAAGAGACCTGAGGGGACCCCTGGGGAGGTGGCAACATCAACATCCACCAGCTGTCCCATGTGATAAAAAGAGGAAGGTTGTCTTGAATCACAGTCATGCTGACTCTGCCATTCTCTGGCTGGGTGACCTTGAGCCAATAATTTTCCCTCTCTGGCCCTCAAACATGCTCATTCATAAAACAGGGACAGTGCAAATATCACACCAGACAACCCTGCAGCATGGCGTGAGGCTGACATGAGATCACATGTGCAGAGCACCGCATAGCTGGGAACATACCAAGCCCCATACACGCTCCTTGCTTCCTTGAGGTGCCAATTATGAAGGTTAGTCCAGTATTGATTCAACAGAGAGGCAGAATGACCCAGTGGAAGGAACCAGGCTGTGGAACTTAACAGACCAAGGTTCAAGTGCGGATCCTGACAGCATGACCAGCTGTGACTCCCTAGGCCACTATTTCAACTTGGTTTCTTTGTCCATAAAATGGCCCTGTATCAGAATCACCTGTATTGCTTGGCAAAAGTTCCCATTTCTGAGGCCGGGTGTCTGTAATCCCAGCACTTTGGGAGACCGAGAAAGTGGGATCGTTTGAGCTCAGGAGTTCAAGACCAGCCTGGGCAACATAGCAAAACCCCACCTCTCAAAAAAAAAAAGTTAACCAGGCATGGTGGAGCACGCCTGTAGTCCCAGCTACTCAGGTACTAAGGTGCGGGGATCACTTGAGCCCCAGGAGGTCAAGGCTGCAGAGAGCCATGATTGTGCCACTGCACTCCAGCCTAGATGACGCAGACCCTGTCTCAAAAAAAAAACAGTCCTGATTTCTGGGTCCCAGGCTCACAGAATCAGACCCTCTGGGGGTGAGACCCTACACACTAAATTTCTAACAAGCTGCCTCCACCCCCACTCCGGGTGGCTGGATTGCGCAGCAGATTTGAGAACTACCAGGCATGTTACAGGCAGGCTGGGAGCACTGGCACTGGCTCTCCAGTGGAGTCTTTCATAAGAGGGGCTGAATTACCAAAGGTCCCTTGTAAGCCCCCAATTTACCAGTCAGACATCTACGCAGGGGCTGCAGTCACCTCTGTGCCCTTCCCATCCCTAGGCCTCCCTATCCTGCTGCCAGGGGGACTCTGTGGGCTTGAAAATAAAATTCAGGGGAGCTTTTCGAGACTCCGACATTTCAGAAGTGAAAGGTGGGAGGAAATTGAAAAGCAAGAGCAATCTCCTCCCTCTGTGGCAGACACTCACCACCCCGACCACTGCCGACACTGTTCTCTTCATTCCATTCCCTTTCTCACGTTTAATCCTTTTGGTCAGATAAGACTTTAGAAATTAATCCTTAGAGTCTGATAGGGTCATTTTACAGGTGAAGAAGAGATTAAGAGATCTAGGGATTCTGGTTTTAAATTAATTTGGGTCTTTAGCAGCAAAATTCAGAACAAATGAGAGATTAATATTTTCAAAATGCAAATGTCTAAAGAATTCAGGGGTTGTGAGTCAGTCTCACGTCTCTGTTAAATGGACAATTGAGCACCTTTTCTCTAAGCCTCCTCAACAACTGTGACAATGGGGGTGAATGGGGAGGTAGATGGGGAGAAGTAGCTACCTGGAACACGGGACACGTCTCGTGACACCAGCCTGGGTGGAGTGCCAGAGTGGGATGGATGGATACGAAAGGTACCCTGAGGGTTCTAGGACAGTGTTAGGCAGGAGAAGAGTGGGCTACAAGGTAAGATGGGCTGCGAGGAAAGAGATAAAATGATTAGAATGAGAACTTCATCTAGATTCTTTGGCAACAATGAGACGCTACTACACACCTATCAGAATGGCCAAAAATCAGAACACTGACATTACCAAATGCTGGGGAGGGTGTGGAGGAACAGGAACTCTCATTCATTGCTGGTGGGAATGCAAAACGATACAGCCACTTTGGAAGACAGTTTGACAGTTTCGTATAAAACCAAACATACTCTTACCATATGATCCAGCAATCTCACTCCTTGGTATTTGCCCAAATGAGTGAAAACTTAGGCCCACAAAAACCTGCACATGAACATTTATAGCAGCTTTCTTCATAATTGCCACTACTTGGAAGCAGTCAAGATGTCCTTTGGTGGGTGAATGGTTAAATATACTGTGTCGCACCCAAACAACAGAATATTATTCTGCACTAAAACCAAAGTGACTTGTTGGCTGGGTGAGGTGGCTCATGCCTGTAATCCCAGCACTTTGGGAGGTGGAGGCAGGTGGATCACTTGTGGTTAGGAGTTCAAGACCAGCCTGGCCAACATGGTGAAACCCCATCACCACTAAAAATACAAAAATTTCACTCCAGCCTGGGCGATAGAGCGAGACTCCATCTCAAAAAAAAAAAAAAAAAAAAAAAAAAAGATACAAAAATTAGCCAGGTGTGGTGGTGCACACCTATAGTCCCAGCTCCTCAGGAGGCTGAGGCAGAAGAATCGTTTGAACCTGGGAGGCAGAGGTTGCAGTGAGCCGAGATCATGCCACTGTACTCCAGCCTGTCTTAAAAAAATAAAAAAGTGAGCTGTCAAGACCTGAAAATACATAGAGGAAACTTAAATGCATATTGCCGAGGGAAGGAGGCCAATCTCAAAAGACTACATACTGTATGATTTCAACCTTATGGCAGTCTGGAAAAGGCAAAACTATGGAGACAGTAAAAGGATCAATGGTTGCCAGGGGTTGGCGGAGGGAGGGAGGGGTATAGGTGGAGCCCACGGGATTTTTAGGGGAGTGAAACTATCCCATATGACACTATAATGGTGGAT
This sequence comes from Homo sapiens, assembly GCF_000001405.40. Classification (NCBI taxonomy): domain Eukaryota; kingdom Metazoa; phylum Chordata; class Mammalia; order Primates; family Hominidae; genus Homo; species Homo sapiens. Next base: position 152,917,101 of record NC_000007.14, on the reverse strand, counting down.
ACATTTGTCTAAACCCATAGAATGTACAACACCTAGAGTTAACTCCAATGTAAACTGTAAACTTTAGTTAATAATAATGTATCAATGTTAGCCCACCAATTGTAACAAATGTGCCACATGAATGCAATTATTATATTGCATAATTATTATATTATTGGATAATATAATAATATTACATAATATTAATATATTAGTAATAAGGGAAACTAGGGGTGGGGCTTGTATAGGAATGCTCTGTCCTTCCTGCTAGATTTTTCTGAAATCTAAAACTGATCTTACAAATAAGCTCTATTAATAAAAAAAGAAATTAGGGCAGCCATGGTGTTTCACACCTGTAATCCAGGACTTTGGGAGAATCACTTCAGGTCAGGAGTTGGAGACCAGCCTGGCCAACATAGTGAAACCCTGTCTCTACTAAGAACACAAAAATTAGCCAGCCATGGTGGCACATGCCTGTAATCTACTCGGGAGGCTGAGGCAAGAGAAACGCTTGAACCCGGGAGGCAGAGATTGCAGTGAGCCGAGATCGCACCACGTCACTCCACCCTGGGCAACAGAGAGAGACCCTGTCTCAAAAAATAATAATAATAAAATAAATAAATTAGAAAGAATACACACGCAGAAATTTTTTAAAACTGTGTTTGAGCTGGCCCCGTACCCATTAAAAGAAATAATTCTTTCATCCCCAAGTCCACAAACTCAGGCCAGGACTATGCTTCCCGCAGCTCTGCTGCACTGTCTATGGGGAAGACTGTCAGCAGGTAAGCATCACTGGGAACAATGGATCTTTGAGCAAAAAGATCTGGGCTCCAAATGACCAAACTGGAACCAGTCTTCAGAAAAGCAGCTTGGTTCAGAAGTAGCCCCAAGGTGCAGATGTGGAAAGCGGTTTTCTCCTAACAGGAAGCATAGGAAGATACCTGCCTCCTCCGTTATTATTAAATATTTACCCAGGAAGATGGCGGGGAGAACATCACATCACTTTTCAGTTACTCCCTGGGGAAGAAGGCTGAGGGCCTTCTCCACATGGAGGTCTTGGGCCTGGGAAAAGCCCTCTCTGCCTTTCCAACCAGTGGACATTAGAGGAGCAGCCTGTGGGCCCGGGGTGAGTGGAGCCCTTGGTTATAAGTGGGAGGACAAGCTGGCCTCCTGCACTCAGCTTCCTGGGTACCGCACAGCCACCAACAGCAATGGCCACTCCTCTGCTCTGTCCCAGCACCCCAGCCTGGCCAAGAATAAGAGGAAAAAATGAGGAGGAGGAGATGAGGGGAGGGGGAGGAGAAGGAGAAGGAGGGTGAGAAGGGGGAGAAGGGAGAGGAAAGGAAAAAGTGAAAAGGAGGAAGAAAAGGGAGGAAGGGGGAAGAGAGCAACAAGAACAGCATCTAACATTGGTTGAGCTCTTACCATGAGCTATTATCATTGTTTTAAGCACTTTACATATATTATCTTCTTGACAACCTGGTGAAACAGGTACTATTATCTCCATTTTATGGTTCTGGAAAATTGTCCAAATTGGAAAATCCTGGGGTGATGCACTTCTATTCATAGCAACCACGATCTTTTCTTTGCTTCTTTTTATTTCAGTAGCAATTGAAGTTTGCATGGGTCCTTCTATCACTTTCACGAAGTCCTGTCCCCCCTTTCCTTACTGTTTTCTCGTTTCTGACCTGAGATTAGAGATTGTCATGGGTTGTCCAGGCCCAGTCAGCTCCCATGACTAGTGGCTCCAGGTTCCACAGACCACCTGTGGGTGGGACCATGCCTTTCAGAGGATGCCTGCAGCTGAGAGCCACGTGTGGCCTGATTGGCCCATCGTGGGCCTTCCAGGTTCTACGTTATGTTCTCTAGATCACTCATTTTTGCCATACTTGAAATCAGATGGCCTAGGCTCTGATCTTCCTGAGCCTCATTATTCCGCTGATAAAATAAGAATAATAAACCACGCCTTGAAGGTCATGCAAATTGATTACATTCGACTGTGAAACTACTTTGTAACCTTCAATGTTCTGCACAAGTAAGGATGATGATGGTGCTGGTGCTGAAGGTAAGAATAATGATGCTGCTGATTGTGATGACGGTGATGATGATGATGGTGGTGGTGATGATGGTGTTGGTGATGGTGGTGGTGATGATGGTGTTGGTGATGGTGGTGGTGATGATGGTGTTGGTGATGGTGGTGGTGATGATGATGTTGATGATGGTGATAATAATGGTGATGATGATGATGGTAGTGATGATGATAGTGATGATAATGATGGTGATGATGACGGTGATGGTGGTGATGATAATGATGATGGTGGTGACGATACTGACGACAGTGATGATGGTGGTCATAATGATAATGGTGATGGTGATGATGATGATGGTGATGATAGTGATGATGATGGTGATAATGATGGTGATGAAGATGGTAATAGTAATGATGTTGGTGATGATGGTGGTGATGATGATTATGGTGATTGTGATGATGATGATGGTGACAATGATGGTGATATGACAGTGGTGATGGTGATGATAGTAATGACGATGATGGTGACAATCATAGTGACAATGGTAATAGTGATGATGTTGGTGATGATGGTGGTGATGGTTATGATGGTGATGATGATCATGGTGACAATGATGGTGATGACAGTGATGATGGTGATAGTAGTGATGATGACAATAGTGATGATGGTGGTGATGATGATGATATGATGGTGACAATGATGGCAATAGTAATGATTATGATGGTGGTGATGGTGATGATGGTGATGGTGATGATAGTGATGATGGTGACAATGATGATAGTGATGACGATGGTGATAATGATGGTGATGATTATGATAGTGATGATAGTGGTGATGGTGATGATGGTGATGATGGTGATAGTGGTGATGGTGATGGTGGTGATGATGATGGTGATGATAGTGATGATGATGATGATGATAGTGGTGATGGTGATGGTGGTGATGATGATGATGGTGATAGTGGTGATGGTGATGATGATAGTGATGGTGATGATCATAGTGGTGATGGTGATGATAGTGATGGTGATGGTGGTGATGAAGATGGTGATGATGATGATACTGGTGATGGTGATTATGGTGATGATGGTGATGATGATGGTGCTAAAATTTAGGCGATGTTTCCATGCCCCAATTGTCTTTTCTTTTCACCCTCTTTGCTATTATAGGGCATACCTTCCCACATACCTGTCTTTTCATTTGGGACAGTCTCATTTCCTTTTATTTCCCCGTTCCTAATTTTGAATTTTCTCCAGCAGCACATCACAGTCCTGTTGTCCTCTGTCATGCACCCTCTTTGGATGTCTCCCAAATGCAGTCATCAGCTTCCTTCATCTCCTCTCTTTGTCTTGTTTGTCTGTGACAGACTTTAGACTGTGGCGTAACCAGGACTGGAAGCAAGATCTTTATATTACTCTCCTGCTGCCTCCCTGAGCCCACAGCACAGAAATGTGTGTCATTCGTTCCCAGCTGGGCTACCTCCCCATGATGTCCCCTCCCCTCCCCCCAATCAATTTGTTAGAGGCAAAGACAGAGTCACTGGTTGTGGGTGCTCAAGTCTTATGGTGGGAGTGGGAACAGACCCCCTGCCCCTTTCTATACATAATGGTAAAGGCAAGTGTTGTGAAAAAAAAAAAAACGGTGGCAAATTAACTTTGAAGTTTGTGTTCCTTAATGACCTTCTTTTATCCATCAAGTTTCAAATGCTGGCACCTTCTGCATACCTCACTTCTAACTGACAGAGCCTGGAATTAAATGCAGCTTTAGGCTCAGTTGGTGCAAAAAACAGTTATCTGTCTTCCAGCAGCCTTGTGGAACACCACATTTCTCACCTGCTGCTGCAGTAATGAGCCACACCTACTGCATACATCTGGAAGACTCAGGTGATACTCGGTGGAGAGTGGCCTCTCCACTGGGCTGAGACTCAGGAGAGCTTGGTTCTCCAAATCACTACTCTCTTCAGAACACAGTTTCTCTGACTGTAAAATAAAGAAGTACTTCCTACTGAAGCCTCTAGCTCCCTGGTCCACATTCCTCAAGTCCTAGCTCAGGCTCAGCAGTCCATGTAAACCTACAGCCTGAAGCAAATACTACCTGGTATACACACACGCCCCAGCTCACACACATACACACACCACAAACACACACCAGATGCATACACTAACATACACACTACCACCCCCATCACCTCACACACAAACGCAACACACACTAACCACACACATACACACACCAACTCACATACACACACACCAGACATACACACTAACACACACTAACCCCACACACACACACAGATGCACACACTAACGTGCACACAACCATCACCTCACACACAAACACAACACACACTAACCACACACACATGCATACACACACCAACTCACACACATACACTAACCCACACACTAACCACACACGCACACACACACACCAGATGCACACTGTAACATACACACTACCAGCACCATCACCTCACACGCAAACAACACACATTAACCACACACACACCAACTCACACACTAACCGTACACACACCAGATGCATACACACACACTACTACCACCATCACCTCATACATGAACAACACATTAACCACACACACACACGTATACACACACCAGCTCACACACATACACATACACACCAGGCATACACATTAACCACACAAGCACAGCAGATACACACACTAACACACACACTACCACCACCATCACCTCACACACAAACACAGCACACACATTCACTACACACACACACCTGCGCGTGGGCATCTGTGCGCACATCCCGCTGGAAATTAGAGGGTAACCAAGGATGGCCTGGGAGGAGGAAGGCCTCCGAGAGCAACCCTAGGGACGCGCACAGAAGGGCAGCTCTCTACCCCTCCCACACCCCACACAGAATGGTCCCTGAAGGTTAAAGAAAAGGAGTCGCATAGGCTGAGCTCATCAAGGCACACGGTGAAACCTGCTCCCCTCTGCAGCGGCCTCCTGCCCTTGGGCCCCACAGCCAGCAAGGGAGCCACCTCTGGTCTGCAGGGGGATGCAGCCAGCTCTGAGACAGCCTCATCCATGGTCCTGGGAGGCATCTGCAGGGAGCTGTGGTTGGCGCGTGCCATGCACCATTGCTGACCGACTTATGAACTGAGGGCCACCTCTCCCCACACCACAACCAGCCTCCTGCCAGGGCCCTGAGAGCCAGGCCAGCCAACACCCCCCCAACCCCCGCCCATTCCAGGCAACCCTGGCTGAGTTAAACATACTGTACAGTGGATTTCACTTTCAGCCAGTGTGATTTGTCACAAAGGTATTTTTCACTAGGTGACAATATATGCCAGTCAAAGGGTGGTCACCGACTGAGTATACTGGTGCTGTGGATAAATCAGTTGCTTTGTGTCTGGGTGGGGCGGCGATCTGTCAGAGTCGACGGGTGCTAGATCTGGTTCAGTGGCTGATGTATGTGAGTCCGGGTGATAAATCTGGTCTGGCAGGTCGTCTATTTCTATTTCCAGCGGGTAATTACACTTTAATGTGTGATATATCCTTTTCGGGGTGAGGTGTATTAAATCCCTGATAACTGCGTATTTACCTCCCGTGTTATGTATGCATACAGCCATTAATATACATTTCCAAGTTTCAAGCACCCACTTTAGCATGCCAAAGATCCCTGGCTCTTTCTGAAGTTCAGGACTGAATGGCACCTCATAAAACGCCACTTCATTAAGAATCAACAGGAATAACCCAACCAGAAACATTTTTTATTGATGAAGGTTGAACAGAGAAATATCAAGTTCACTCATCACTTTTCACAGAGGAAGGAGACAATGAAATCTTTATTGGAAAGTTCTGTGTGTCAGGAATGCACTTCATCTTGTCGGGGAAGCGCAGCCAGGAAATATATGGCCCGATAGGAATCATCAGCACAGGAGGAAGCCCCAACCAAACACGGCGTCTCAGCAGCTTCCAGGGCTCTGTGTCCAATGGCTTCGACATTTCCATTCCTTGGTGGCTTGTTTTTGTCAGTCAGTCTGACATTCAGTGCCTTCCAGAAGCCCTTGGATGCTGAGAGAGTTGAGCCTCTTGAGTACCCTATTCCCTGCCCCACACTGAGATGGCTCCAGGTGACAGATGCCTGCCAGGCACGAGCACCTGTGGAGGGCTGGGGAGAGGGACACGTCAAAAGGAGACGCAGGCCCTGTGAAGGGAGGCCTGGGGTGATGTGATGCCACAGAGTCCTCTCGTACCTGCAATTAGCCCTGGGAGGTGGCCACCCCAGGGAGGGGTGACCGCAGTGGCAGTGACGCCCCCGCAGAGACAGAACCTGACAGCCCCGCCCCCAGCAGTTAGAGCAGCAGATCCCTCCTGGGGGTGCTGGGTGTCGCATCTCCACACCCCCTACAAAATACACAAAGTACATGCCACTAGCTCTAATGAGGCTCTTGGCAGTTTCCCAGCAATTTCCGTTTCATTCGACCTTCAGAATTTGCAGAAAGAATGCTATGAATGCACTCCTAATGAGAAGGATAGAGATCAAGGTCAAGCACCTTCATGAAGCCAGTGAGCTCGGTTTCCAGCACCCCATTCCCCTCCCCGTGATTTCCCCTTGGCTCCCCCAAAAACTCACCCTTCCCATGAGACCCTAGTCCTGCCTGTCACCAAAGAAGGATGTAAACATGAACAGCATAGGAGAAATGAAGAAAAGAATCTTCCCTAAAAGCCAGCACAACCTTGCAAGCAGATGGGAAGACCGTGCTGGGTGGGCTGGGAGCTGGCCACAGCCGGTAATTATGCTTAGTAATTAGTACATTCCTGACACACAGGATTTTCCAATAAAGATTTCACTCTCTCCTTCCCCTGTGAAAAGTGGTGGCCACCTGAACCTTCATCTTTCCTTGAAGTTCTCAATGTATGTATGTATGTATTTTTAGGGACAGAGTCTCTCTGTCCCCCAGGCTGGAGTGCAATGCTGAAATCATAGCTCACTGCAGCCTCGAACTCCTGGGTTCAAGCAATCCTCCCGCCTTGGCCTCCCAAAGCATGAGGATTATAGGTGTTAGCCACTGCACCCGGCCTAGATTTTGATTTTCCAAGGCTATCAGTTATCGGAGTAGAAACACCCTGCTCCTCCTACAAAGCTGTGATGCAGGAAGAGAAAAAAACAAAGAACCTTTTCTTCTTTTCTCTTAGACCAGCGTGCCTCACTGCAGGCCTTGCTGACACTGGAGCCCTGAAATTCCTTGTGTGGGGCCATCCCGTGCGTCATAGGACATCCAGCAGGTCCCTGGCCTCCGCCCACTAAATGCCAGTCACACCATCAAAACTGTCCCCAGACATGAGTTAAATGTCTCCTGGGAAGCAGAACTGTCCCTAGTTGAGAACCACTGCCTTAGGCTAATTATTTTCTGATGGAACATAGCTAAAAACTAATGAAAGGCAAAAATGATAATTATGGAAAACATGAACAGCATAAAAATAACCAATCTGAAGTCTAAGTTTACTTTCCAAGAATCTCATTCAAATCCTCAAAGAACTTCATGACATCCAAATGCCCTCACTCCAGGGCGGCTGCGATGCAGCTCTGGTGGCACAGGCTGCCTGGCGTCCCCTCCCCTGTGCCGTCTCTTCACATGGGAGCAGAGTACCCGTGCTCTTCTCGACACTGTCAAGAAGCAATGCCTGCTCCCCAGTTTAGAAAAATGTGTTTTGAAAAGGCAGAGGAGGTGGAGAAAAGAAAAAAGTAAGAAGAGGAGGAAACTGTTATAAACATTTCAAAGATTTCAAAGGCAAAATTATTTTCTCTTTAATAACTCATAATTACCACTATGCAGCCATAAAAAAGAATGAGTTCACGTCCTTTGCAGGGACAAGGATGAAGCTGGAAACCGTCATTCTCAGCAAACTAATGCAGGAACAGAAAACCAAACACCACATGTTCTCACTCATAAGTGGGAGTTGAACAATGAGAACACATGGACACAGGGAGGGGAACATCACACACCGGGGCCTGTCAGAAGGTGGGAGGCAAGAGGAGGAGAGCATTAGGACAAATACCTAATGCATGTGGGAATTAAAACCTAGATGACGAGTTGATAGGTGCAGCAAACCACCATGGCACATGTATATCTATGTAACAAACCTGCACGTACTGCACATGTATCCCAGAACTTAAAGTAAAATTAAATGAAGTTAAATTTAAAATTTAAAAACTCATAATTCCCATCAGTTTAATACAAGTATTTTCATTTTTGTATATTCCTATCCAGCATGGGTCCAAGTGCATGTGTATTTTTATGTAAGCATACATCAAACGCAAGCAATGTTGTAGCCTGATTTTCTCACTTAACCTTGTATTATAAGCATTTTCCCATGACGCTATATCATTTTTTTGGATTATAATTCATATTAGTTGAGCAATATCTCGATAATGGCAAATCAGCTGAGCTAAGCTGGGTTTTGCTGGGATGATCATCAGTTCTGGACTGTCCATTGAGGTTTATCTTGTGCTCACGCGGAGCCCACTGTGTCTGGGAGACTGTCCTGGCGCTGTACTGCAGGTGACTGCTCACGACACAAATCGCTTGGGTCTGGTGGTCCTTCCCTCTGAATGTGACTTCCAGGCTAACTGCAGGAGGGAGGGGAGCATAAAGAATAGCACACCAGTTTTTCCTGCTTCCCCCTGGGTGACACAGTCACTTCCGCTTCCAGTCCATTGGCCAGAATCTGTCACCTCCATGGGGCTGGAAAATAGTCTTCCACGTATCCAGGAAGGGAAAAAAGGCTGGAGCTACCTGAGCCCTGATGCTGCCTGACCAACTTTAGCTTTGCCGTAAATGAACTCTTCGTTCCCAGTGCTGACCTTTGTTTTCAAAAGTCAAACTTTGATGAACCAAACTCCCCATTCCCTGTAGGAGACTCTCAGTCACTTAAATCTTTGATCTCAAACATGTCGGTCCTCAGAACAGCCAGGGCGAAACTCTGAAGGGACGGGGTGAAGCCTGGGAATCCCCGTTTTTAAAGGGCTCGGTGATTCTGCTCACCGGCCAGGCTGGGGACCACGACTTGAGTCCCAAGTCATCTTCAAGGCTACAGTAATTGTGCTTCTCCACTCCGATCTCCAGTGATCCATCAGATGGATTCCTAGGCTCACGGCTTTCGATCTCTGGTGGAGCCTGAGAAATAATTACAAGGAACCTAACCCAAGCATCGATTGAACCCTGAATAAACAGGATGCACTGTGCATACAATTTCAGAAATATATGTAATGCTATTGTGATTTATCAAATAGAGATTCACTAAGCACATTCCTAAATATGTAGTGTAGTTCTGATTTTATAAATTATTTCAAGATAGACTGTATCAGTCGGGGTCCCAGAAGGAAATAAATGGCACACTCAAAGGGGGAGATTGAAGAGTTTAACAGAGGGAATATTCCTAAAGGTGCGGGCAGGGTTATGAGACATCAAGAAAAGACGGCGAGGCTGTCAGAGCCAGTATCAGTGGAGAATCTTATCATCCCCAGTCAGAAGGGGTGAGGGAGGGAACAGTCACCGCAGCCCAGAGAACAGTTCTGAAGGTTTTCCTCAGAAACAGATAATCGGATTTCCTCAAATATTCTTTCTGCATCATTGAGATCATCATATTTTTTTATTTTTTAATTTGTGAATATGGTGAGTTACACTGATTTTTGAATGTTAAACCAACTTTACATTCCTGGGATAAACTCCTCTTGGTTGTGGTATTAGGGTTCTCCAGAGAAACAGAATGAAAAGAGAGAGCAATTGATCAATCAATAGATCGATCGATCAATAGATAGATGATTGATAGATAATTGATAGATGATAGGTAATAGATGATACATGATTGATAGAAATGATAGATGACAGATAACAGCTGATAGGTAGATCAGATAGAAGATAGATAGATAGATAGATAGATAGATAGAGGATTTGCTACGGGAATTAGCTCACGAAATTATGGAGACCGAGAAGTCCCACACTATGCCATCTGAAAGCTAGACACCAGGAAAGTAGGTGATATAATTCAGTCTGAGTCCTAAGGCCTGAGGGGAAGAGGAGTGGTTGCTGGTGTAAACCTCAGAGTCCAAAGGCTGGAGAACCTGCCGTTCTGACGTCCAAAGCCAGAATAGGGGATAAATTGGCCCTGCTTCTACCCAGGTCCTCCGTCAGATTGGATGGCGCCTCCCACATTGGTGAGGTGGGTCTTCCTTACTCAGCCCACTGATCCAAAGGCTAATCTCTTCTGCAAACCTTCACAGGCACACCCAGAAATCGTGCTTCACCAGCGAACTGGGCGTCCCCTAACCCAGTCAAGAGAACATCTAAAATTAACCATCATGGTCATGGTGGGGATATATAAATTTATACATATAATTAACATATAACTAGATAAATATACAATTTTTATATATTTGTAGATTCGCGTTACTAACATTTGAAAGCATATGTGCCTCTGGGTTCATGATGGATAATGACCGGCAGCTCCAGTTTCTCGTGAAGCCTCTTTCTGGCGTAGGAATCCATGCAATGCTTGTAATGCTGGCCTTATAGAGTGAACCGGCAGCTGTTCCCTCCTCTTCAGTTTTACGAGTTTGTGTAGAATTCATATCATTTCTTCTTTACATTTTGGTACAATTCACGAATTGAGCTATAGTTTTCTTTATGTGAAGACTGTTAATTACAAATTCAATTGTTTAACAGACTCAGGAATATTCAGTAGATCTAATCCTTCCTGAGTCAGTTCTGATAGTTTGTGTCTTCCAAGGAATTTTTCAATTTTATCTAAATTGTAGAATCTTTTGGCATAAAATTGTTCACAATATTCTCTTATTATCTTTGTAATGTCTGCTGAACCTGTAGGATATTCCCTCTTGTTCTGACAGCGGTAACGTGAGCTTTATCTCTTCATTCCCCAAACAGTCATGCCAGTGATGTATCAACTGTGTTGATCTTTTCCAAGAACCAACTTTTGGCTTCATTGATTTTCTCTACTGTTGATCTTCTCTCTATTTCACTGATTTCTGCTCTTATCTTTATTATTCCTTTCTTCTACTTACTGAGTTCCATTTGCTCTTCTTTTACTAGTTTGTTAGGAAAAAATCACCTGTGAAAATGTAATTTCTGCATTACACTGAAAACATTCTCCTATTTGCCACTTGCATATGGTTAATTCAAGTTATAGCAACATGCACTGTGGCAAAACAAAACATTCTGTCTGCCAAAGGGGACAGGTTTCCTTTAAGATTAAATTGAGGCCAGGCGCAGTGGCTCATGCCAGTAATCCCAGCACTCTGGGAGGCTGAGGCAGGCAGATCACAAGGTCAGGAGATCGAGACCATCCTGGCTAACACAGTGAAACCCCGTCTCTACTAAAAATACAAGAAAATTAGCTGGGCATGATGGCAGGCACCTGTAGTCCCAGCTACTCAGGGGGCTGAGGCAGGAGAATGGCATGAACCCGGGAGGCAGAGCTTGCAGTGAGCTGAGATCGCACCACTGCACTCCAGCCTGGGAGAGCGAGACTCCATCTCAAAAAAAAAAAAAAAGATTACATTGAACACGCTCTGTGTCCGATGAGTGTAACTAACACGCTCTGTGTCCGATGAGTGTAATCCTACAGAGGATATGCAGCCTCCATCCTCAGGGAGCTTGTCCTCGTTACCTCCCCATGACCTTCAATCTACATCAACTCATGCTTCCCTTAAACGTTAGTGATAAGAAATTGTATATGTTAGAATATGTCTGTTACAGCAGATCACATAGTTCTCTGAGAGTTATGAACAATGTTTGCCATGGAAAATTGAATTCACTTGCCAACCTTGTTACAATTAAATCAGTAACTATGACCTAACCAATCTCTTGAGAATGAAATTACCTTTATATAAACTGAATACATTATCTTGCTAGCTTAAAAATATCTTAGATTATGGGTCTAGGCGTTTCTTATTGAAAACTAAACAAGTAAGGTTTAATTGGAGGTATGAGCGTTCATTTCAGAAAACAATGTGAAATCTCGTTCCCCACCGTGAGCACCTCGCAAACGGGCACCCAGTGAAAGTGTCTGGATCCGATGGTGGCAGCAGCTCTCCTCTCTTTAGGAGGTTTTCTCCAAAGCCTTGGAATCCTCTGGCACCCACGCATGCGGGCTGGCCCACAGCACAGGACAGTGAGCTGCAGCTCGTGGGGTGCAGTAACCCCCACCTGCCCACCCGCCCGCTAGGAAGTCCCTCCTGTTCTTTTGGTCTCCGCAGCTCTCTCAGGTTTTCCTGCACTGCCCAGGGGGACTGGCTTCTCCCTATCAAGCTGCTTGCCTGACAACAAGTCACATCATCTTCAGGAAGCTTTGGCGCCAGGAACCACACAAGGCTTTCTCTTTGCGAGTAGGTTTGATGTGATGAGGAGACATAAAGAGAGATGGTGGAACCATCAGGCAGGCTGTGCTAGCCTGAGAGCACAGGAGTTATGTGAAGAGAAGGCTTGGCCCCATCTCTGCTCCGCAGGCATCAAGTTTGAGCCTCAAGAAGTTGCAGTATCAGCTCCTTTTCAACACCATTGTCTTAGTGATGTCGTCACAATGACCCTTCCCTGCTTCTGCTCCCCATTCCTTTCCCTGTGCCTCTTTCCTTCAACCACCGCCAATCAACACCACCATCTTCTCAGAAAGAAAGACATCATTTGTGTCTCTCTCGCAAGCCCTACAGACCTATGAAGGTAAAGGAAGCTGCACACATATTTCTTCTCTCTTCCATTTTATAGGGAACATCTTAAACCAAAAGTTATTAAGCATTTATAGTGAGCCAGGCACTGCTGAGCATGGAAACTCATTTAATTCTCACAAGAATCATATAATGTACATACCATTATCGTCTCCATTTTACAGGAGAAGAAACTGAGGCACACAGGAGGTAACGTAACCTGCCAAAGATCTCCTGCCTGGCAAGAAACAGAGCTGGGACTGGGTCTCAGTCTCCCAGAACTCCTACTCAGCCCCACACTGCAGGTTATATGTTTTTAATATCACTTCAATGTATGTTATTATCTATCTAATTATTGAAAATATTATGTTGATAGATAGTGGAAAATATAGAAGGACACGTCTATGAGTGCCATTATTCTCCATGACAGGATCCATGCTGATCCCTGTGGCCTCCTGGGAACTCATATCTGTCACATAAAGCAAGAACTGCCAGGTGCCTTCCAGTTCTACTGCCAGCCCGCAGGCCAGAGCGGGCCAGTGGTCTCCGCGACCTCGGATTTCTTGTTGCCACCGCAGGCCGTAGGCGGTGTGGTTTTGGTCATGGCACGGTCAGAATGCCCACACGTTCTTCGCCGCCACAGCACACGCCCACGGGAATTGACAAGCCAAAGCCAAGCTCCCAGCCAGGCTGCTTTACAAAGGTCGCCCGTCCTGTCTGTCGTAACGCCAACTTCATAAGGTCAGCGCCGCCATCGTCTGTCACCCTGGCCTGCTACTCACCTAACGAGGTGCTGCAGTGAACAGGTGACAGGCAGGTGCGGAAGGAAAGCCCTGGGAGAGGCGACACAGAGGACGGGACACGGCTCGGAATGGCGGGCGGCATGCGGCCTGAGCGGGATGGTGTGGGGCTCACCCCATATCATCCGTAATGGGACGGAAAGTCTTCCCTCGGGTGTGACGGCCGCCCCAGCGGATGCAGCAGGGATTCTATTTTGGAACAGAGACGCCCACCTCTGGTTCAGATGCGACCTCCTGGAATATTCAAGCACCTGGGCCAGGCCCCAGTGCTGCATGTGTGACACACAGACCTACCCCACGGCCACCTCAGGCCTGAGGACCCTCGAGACCAGCGCCGGCCACACACCACACGGGCAGGGCAAAGCTGAGAGGCATCCTCTCCCTTCCTCCACCTCACCCAGCACACACCCTGCCGTCAGATCCCTGAGCCCATCCTTCATCCCTTCACCACAAACTCACCAACCTGCCCACAGTTTCCAAGGCCCGCTTCCCCCGGAAACGTGTGGGCATGTAGCTCTCCCAGGAGTGTGCCCAGCCCTCCACTCCCTACAGGAGTGCCCACGGGCTTGGCACCCAACCTGCTCTGATCGCCTGCTCAGCTGCCCCACACTGCCCTGCCCTCCACTCCCAGCACCATCCCTCACAGAGCCCTGGCATCACCCAGCTACCCGGGGGCCCAGATTCAGCCTAGGCCAAATCCTACAGCCCCCATGAGCCTCGGACGCCTTCTCCATACCCGTCAGCCCTGCTTTCAGGTCCCACAGGACAGATGGGCCCCCTCGCTCCCTGACCCCCACAGCCCTGCCCTCCCCAACCACACATCCATCCACCTCTCCACCCCTCTCCAAGCGTAGAAGTGAACAGAGTGATGACGATTCAGGGAACCTGGTGGCCATTTTTAGGGACACAAATAAAATAAACCCAAAAGCAGGCGGAGTGGAAACACGGAGCAGTGGCTGGGGGGTATGGGGAGGCAGTGACAGTGGGAGGCCACAGTGGAGTCGTTCTGAGAGTGACGCAGCCAGACGTGATTATCTTTCCTGAATCTGATGTACCTCATGGTGAGGAAGGGGACAGGCCCAGGAGGATCCTTGCATACATTAGCTGTTAGCTGTGAGAGTCGCTTCAGAGGTTCCCAACAGAACACTCTGGAAGCATATAGTTCTACAGGGGAGCTGCAGCGTTCTCTTGTTTCAGAGCTGCTCAGGTCAGAAACGCAAACACTTTGAGCTTCTCTGATGAGGCACGAGGCCCCAGGGCCCAAGGGGCAGTGGCTCCACTACAGAGGAGAGAGCCGAGTAAACCAGGGTGATTTAGTTCCTACATGTGGCCCAGGCCTGCTCCAGCTGCACAGAGCTGGTTCTTACAGGCTCTGTTCTAAATAAATCATCCTGCAAAACAGCCTGAAACCAAAACAGCTTCTGCAGCTCTAAACTAGAACGTTTGGACAGGTGATTTCGTTTTTTAAAAACAGTCCAGCTGACACTGCCAGATGGTTTCCAGACTGCAAAAAGAACCTTTGCAAACATATTCCTAAAGCCACACAGCCTCCTGCCCTTTTGCCCCAGAAGTCACTCTCCCATGCGGAAAAAATTGCCCAGGAAGGCACTGAGTCCTCTCCGGGTCCCTGCTAGGGGCCCAGCCCTGAGACAGGCATGGAGGGGGAAACACAATCTGACCGCGTTTCATGCAGCGCATACTAGAACTGCAAATGTCAGACGTATTTTACATTTTCCCACCTGAGAAAAAGTTATTAGCTCCAAGCATGACTGAGAAAGTTTTTTCATTTAGGAAAGGACACAAGAGAGGCAGCTGGAGTCCTGGTTCAGGACAGGGCCACTGGGCACTGCACCTCCAGCTCCTCACCAAGAGAAGGTGCAGGGAAGAGATGGTGTGGAGACACTGGAGGCCATGGGCTGGGGTGGGCAGGTGTCTGCAGGGAGGGAGACGGATCCACAGGTCACACAAAACCACCCCACCAGAGTACTGCCGGTCACACCTGCTCCATGTCCCTCTCCCCAGCATGTCACCCCTGACACTGAGCTGGTTAGGGAATGAAATCCACACTCACACGGTCTCAGGAGGTCTGCTGTCACTTTTACAAATTATATACATATAGACATGAGAGACATTGATGTTGATATGGGCTGGCTGTGTCCCTACTCAAATCTCACCTTGAATTGTAGCTCCCAGAATTCCCTCCTGCTGTGGGAAGGACCCAGTGGGAGATAACTGAATCATGGGGGTGGTTCCCCCATTCTGTTCTCTTGGTAGTGAATGAGTCTCACGAGATCTGATGGTTTTATAAAAGGAAACCCCTTTTGCTTGGCGCTCACTGTCTCTCTTGCCTGCTGCCATGTAAGATGTGCCTTTCACCTTCCACCATGACTGTGAGGACCTCCCACCCACAGGGAACTGTGAATCTGTTAAACCGCTTCTTCTTGACAAATTACCCAGTCTCAGGTATGTCTTTATCAGCAGTGTGAAAACAGACTAATACACATGTCAATATAGACAGAGCTCTAGATGTACACATAAATACAGATATAAATATAGACGTCGGCATAGGCACAGATGTAGATAAATATAGACATAGACCAAGGTAAAGGTGATGTCCTTTTCCCCTTTACTGTGTGTATGTCTGTGTGTGTCTGTCCGTCCCCATAAACCTGCCCCCCGCCCCCGCAATCATCTGTCCCTCTCTCCACCCCTCCCCAGTGTACAAGTGAATAGAGTGATGACAACTTGGGGAACCTGGTGGCCGTTTTTCAGGACACAAATAAAATAACAAACATAAAAGAACGTGCGAGTGGAAAACATGGAGTGGTGGCTGGAGGGGGAGCGGGGAGCTGAAACCACCTTCTGAGCAGTGGCAGGGAGAGGCCACCCCACGGAATAGTGCTGGGGCGGAGTGATGCAGCCTGGCAGAGAGAGACACACAGTAAAAGGGAAAAGAACATCAGACCTTGTCAACCATTACAGGTTAAACTGTGTCCCCCCAGCCCCCAAAATTCATATGCTGAAGTCCTAACCCCCAGCACCTCAGGATGCGAACTTATTTGTACACATGGTCTTTGCAGAAGTTAAAATACGGGCAGTAAGGGCAGGCCCTACTCCAATATGACTGGAGTCCTTATAAAATGGGGGCGTCTGGACACAGACACCCAGCAGGGAGGGTGTCAGGTAGAGACGATGACGGCATCTACAAGCCAAGGAGAGAGGCCTCAGAAGGAACCAGCCCTGCCCACAGCCTGGTCTTGAGCATCAGGAGCTGCAAGGCAAGAAATCTCTGTTGTTAAATTAAAGCATCCAGATTGTGGTGCTTTGATATGGCAGCCACAGCAAAGTCCAGTGCAGGCAGATAACAGGTCCTCTACTAATATCTGAAGGACTAATAAATCATGTAATGGTTGCTACTTGGGGAAGCTCCTAAAGGGGACTGAAGCGCATGGTGCTTCTTTGTCATCCTTTTCTCATCTTCAGGAGCAAGTGGGCCTCACCATCTGACCCTGGCTCTGAAGCAAGGCCCAGCCCAGGTACCAGCATTCTCCCGGGACAGGCCCTACACTGCGCTCAGGAAGTACACAAAGCACCCACACGTCCCTGAGCTTTGCTCCCACTGGCAGGAATCCTGCTTACTTGTTCTTTCTTGTGGGTACTGTTAAAAGAAAAACTTCAGCCAAATTAAATTTAAAGGAGTTTAATTGAGCAATGAATAATTCATGAATCGGGCAGCCCCCAGAATCACAGCAGATTCAGAGAGACTCCAGGGGTGCCTCGTGGTCAGAACAAACTTACAGACCAAAAAAGTAAAGTGACCTACAGAAATCGGAGGTGAGGGACAGAAGCAGCTGGACTGGTTACAGCTCGGCATTTGGCTTATTTGGACACAGTCCGAGCACTCGGCAGGGAATGACTGGTTGAAGTGTGGCTGCTCCGATTGAGCAAGACTCGGTGATTGTGACAGGCACACACTCCTAAGTTAGGGTTTCAATCTTGTCTACCTATTAAGTTAGGTTGCAGTTTGTCCACAAGGACTCAAATACAGCAGCACAGAGTCCTTTTCAGGACACATTTAGTTCGCTCTAACAGTACAGATTAGAGACAAAGAAAGCTGTAACTGGATTTCTCCAAGGTGGACATTTTCTGCCCAGAGAAAAGTAATAAATCAGGGAGAAATGCACCCTTTGTATTCCACAAAAAGGCAAAAGGAAGTTGTCCTTGGTGTCCACCTCGCATCTTTGGTTGTCTGAAAATGCCTATTTGCCATTACTGGAAAGGTGGCCAGGCTTCCCTCTGCCCGTGGCCCTGTGCCCAAGCTCCAGCACCTCAGGACAGGGTGCTGCTCAGACACCTGAAGGTCCCCACTTCAGCCGGGGCCGAGCGCCGCACTCCATGGCATATCAAGAGCACCCCACAGGCTGCCAGCTTCTGTATCTTGGTTTCTTGAAGCATCTTCCTTATCGTGATTAAAGGAAGCCAACGTCAGATTGGATCTATCCACACAGTACAGGCAGCCCCAAAGATGGCACAGCCTGTGGTTGAGGAATCTACAGGGACTGCCGGCAATGCCACAGGATGGGCTGTGGACACACAGGATTCTGCGAGCCGGGCTGTGTACTGCACACCAGGAGGTCTGGTGGAGTTTAGGAAGGGAGAAATCCATGCAAGGGAGATGGGATCCTAAAGGCCCAGGAGCATTTAAATAGGCAGAGAGGAGAAACTGAGGCTTCCAGCCATCAGTGGAGACCTTGCTTCCCATCCCCCAGGCTGTGAACTGCGTGATCTGAATGGTCTTTCTTACTTAAGATGCTCATCATGCTCTATGCTTGAATTCCTTCCTACTCCCAGCTGCCCCCCACCCCCGGCTACAGAGCAAAATTGCCACTCCTGAGCTGCACTCAGGCTCTTGACAACCTGTCCCCAAACTCCACCTCCTGCTCATCTCTCCACCTTCCCTCACCACCATCCCCACTCTCTGGCTACAGCGCTCAGCTTCCTCTAGCCCCACCCGTCTGTGTCTTTGCCTCTCTGTACAAGGCCATCTGGGAAACTCCTACATCCTCAGAGGTCCTTAAAGCTTCAGCATTAATGTGACCCCAGAGTGGAGGCTCCGATGCCCATGGAAGCCCCTCTGGATTCTCCCATGCTCCAGGTGTGCACACCTCTGGGCTGCTGGCTGTGCCGCCATCACCTGGCTGCATCTGCCTCCTTTGCAAAACTGTGAGCTCCTATGTCAGAAAGGTTCCAGGAAGCCAACTCTGAGTGGAGATGAGCTTACAGGGGGTATACTGGGGGCTGCTCTTGGGATTTGCAGGAAGGGAAGGGGAAAGGAAGAGAAGGGAAAGGGGCCCCACTGGGCCAAGGGAGAAGTTGCCTGTGGCTGTGACGCAGTCTGAATGGAGACCTCAGCCGATGCTGCGAGGCAGGCATGGAGGCAGAGACAGCATTTTAGAATTGTCCAGGTTGAAGCAGGAGGCGGTGATCTTACTGCCCCTTTTCCCCACACTTCAACTAGTCACTGACTTCAGGAAGTGGGGGTGGCGAGGGGTGGGGGTTAGGGTTAGGGTTAGGGTTAGGGTTAGGGTTAGGGTTAGGGTTAGGGTTGGCTCTCTGCAGCCCAGGCAATCCCAGAGGGAGCCAGCAGCTGAGAGCTGTCTGCTGGGGGACCAGCTCTTTATTCTGGACAATCCGGGTGACACATCACAGCATCCACCACTCCCCAAGGGTAAAGTCTGACTCACTCAACTTTGAAGTCTTATTACTTAGGCACGATGTCTTTAAAAATGGAATATGACAAATTTTTGTCGCCTTAAATTAAATATCCTCCCATCAAGGGCTTTGCTTTCCTCTCATCATCTTCAGGAAAGCAGACCTCGCAAGGCTATCTCAGGTGTCCCCCGAGGCCAACGCTCACTCCCCAGGCTCTGATCTCCAAATGCCCAGCTAAAAAGGAGCAGTGGATTTCACCTGCTGCCGAAGCCTCTGGCTGTGGAGCCTGTTGGGGACAAAGCACGCTCACATTTCTCAGATCGCGAAGGGCCCAAGGCGGGCAGCACTGCACACGTTTCCAGAGCCAGAGCTCCATGCCCAAGACATGCAGAAGGCATGAAAGTCAAAAGAACATATCCCACCCAATATCCTGGCCCCAGTGTTTAAAACCCGACCGACACAGATTACATGCTCTTTTGAAAAGAACTTCAGTTAAATCTACTGGTCAATTTTAGACTGCTGTGGAGGCAAAGTGAAAAAGATCTGCCTGGTATCACAGCCCAATACTTTGTCGTCAGTAATCTACAGAGGGTCAATGCACTAAGCCTGAGGCTGCACAGCTATAAATCGCCTTTGTGGAGTCATAAGCTAAGTCTGGGGCAGATGCTGGCCTTGGGGGAGCCAGCCTGGAGGAGGAGGTGCGATTGGTGTGCGCTTGGGCTGCATCCGTGGAAGCATCTGGAACACTGGGCCTTTGACCTGCAGCGACCACTCCAGTGAGAGCCCTGCAGTCCCAAGAGGTGGCCACCTCCTCGGAGCCCCCAGCCGCTGTCATCCCATCCTCTGCTCTTGATAACAGACTTTATGTGCACGTGTATTTATAGGCAAACATGTTGTCTATGCTCTGAGGGGGAGGAGCTGTGTTTTTTCCAGCTCTCTCTTTGGATGAAAAGTGCCTGAAGTCACAAGTGTCATTCCTCTACATCATCACACCAGTGGGGCACGCCACCATTTCCCCCCAGTCCTGCAAACTGAGAACCACGCCAGGATTAGCCCCAGGCTAAACCACCCAAAGCTTCTACCCAATATTCAAAGCCCCACCCAATACCATCTTTTCCCTCTCTTCTCTGAAATTCTACACCATTTATAGATAGATCAGAGCCCTCCACCTTGATTGCATATTAATTTTTACAGTTTCCTTTGTGTGAACTATTTCCTCGATCATTAAAATTATGAAATCCTCCAGGTAGACAATGTGCCGAATCTTCCTTGTCCCCACAGTGCCTGGCACAACGCTGGGTGTCTTGGCACTCAGGAAAGCGGGCCGTCAGCTTTGTGTCTGATCAACAGATAGAGATGGGGAGCCAGCCCCAGTCAATGTGGAGTGGGGAGCACGTCAGGAGAGGTCCAGCCAAGGACGCAGCTGCCGTACCCCAGGCTTGCACACTCTGGTGCAGAGCCAACATCAGAAAACACGGGATGAAGGCAGCCACGGTGACGGGAAGTTAGCGTTGCCATGGGGGTGGGGAGGGGGCTCACCAGGTGGACATACCTGAGCCTCACAGTGGGGGCCCCCTCCCTCCACTCACATCCTTTCCTGAGCCTCTGTGCTGGGGTCCCTCAGGTGCAACCTGGAGACCCCGCTTAGCTAGGGGTGGGTACAGCCCAGGGAGCTTAAACCTGGGAAGATCCAGGGCTCAACGTTAGATAGCAAAACACACCTCCTCAGCCTCTTTCCTCAGCCGTGTGGACGACTGGCCACATGTCTGACACATCGGAACCGTCCACCCATCCTCTGGCATCATACCCGATGGCAGAGCTTCCCAACAGGTGTGTGCCGGCATCCCAAACTCTGTTCACCTTTCAGTTCCTAAGCCTGTGACCTCCTTCTCTCCTCCCCTCCTCCCCTCCTGCCAGGGAACCTCAGTGTTACCGGGTGTTGACAACAGCCAGGAAGACCTCCACCGACACTCTCCGGAGTCACCGCTGTGCCCTCTCTCAACCCCAACCCAATACACATGTGCCCACTCACTAATAATCAAAGGCGTTGGAGAAATGTTTCTAAAATCATTACCCTCCATTTAAACACTCAAAGCCTGACATGCTGCGCAGCGTAGAGAATCGTCATGAGACAATCGCTGCAAATTGGCACAGCAAGTTCTTCATTTCCAGGCCATCCTGTGTCAATAAGATATTAGCTGCATCGCAGCTGCAAATGTCTGCATCAGCTCCACTGGTTCATTTACCACAGCCCTATTTTAACCCACGAACGTAAAAGCTTTCCGAGACCCACACACACCTTCATGCCTTCCAAAACAGTGAGTCCTGCTCGGCTTCCAGCCCCACCTTCAGCCACACCGTGACTACTAAGGCCGTGCTGAGCTCGCCTTCTTCCTTACCATCAGTAGACTTTTTTTTTTTTATTTATTTTTTGAGACAGGGTCTGGCTCTGTCACCCAGACTGGAGTGCAGTGGTGCCATCTCAGCTCACTGCAACCTCCACTTCCCGGGCTCTAGCGATCCTCCCATCTCAGCCTCCCAAGTAGCTGGGACCACAGGCACGCGCCACCAAGCCTGGCTAATTTTTGTATTTTTGTAGAGACGGGGTCTCACTATGTTGCCCAGTTTGGTCTCAAACTCCTGGCCTAAAGCCTAAATCCTCCCGCCTCGGCCTCCCAAAGTGCTGGGATTACAGGCCTGAGCCACCACGCCCGGCCCCAGTGGCTATTTCTGTAACTGGTGGGCAGCTGCTTCCTCCTCCTTCGCACTTGTGGATCTGGTGTGCAAGGAGAGAGACGCTGGAGACTGTGAGAGATCACAGGCTCTGGGAGAGGGAGGCTTGGCCTCACAGCAGGGAGCTGGGCAGCGGCCTGACGCCACAGTCGTGGTCCAGGGCATTCGGGGACCCACTTCTCAGCACGGTCCTAACAGCTGAGGGCTGCTGGATTCGCGGCCAACAGACGGGTACAGCGCCCAGGGTCTGCGTCTGGGTTCTTGTTTCCAAAGAGCGCAGAGGGGCTTATGGGCACGTTTACTCCAAAGGCAAAATCACAAAATCCTTCGCTCTCTCAGCCAAATCCCACGTGGTTCATTGCTACTGCACGTAATGAAAAGATTTTAACATCACTTAAAAGGGCTGCTGCAGGCCGCTTTTGCTCCATTCCTTCAGATTTCAACCCAAGGGACCTCTGAGAATGAACAGCCGTGCATGGGTTCAGGACTTTAAACCCCCAGCGCTCTGCAGGCAAAGGGCGGAGCGCGGCTGCGGCCCCGACGCGGGCAGGAGTGGGGGGCGCGCGCCCTCTGGCGTCCGCCTCGGGGACGCGCGGGCCTGGAAACTACGGCCCAGGTCAGAGGCGCCCACCGAGGGCCGGGGCGAAGGGGGAGCGCCCCAGCCTGCAACCCCCGCCCTCCAGAACCTTGGGGGGCAGAGCACAGAGCAGAAGGCACCCGGCACCCAGAGGGGTCCGGGCCAAGCATCCCCGCGTCCCCTCACCGCGCCTGCCACCAACCTTGACCTCAAGTCACAGCCTCCATTTGGAGGCCTGGAAACCGGGTTAAGAAAGCTGCTGAGGTTCACCCAATTCAGAATCCACATCGCTCTCCGACTCTTCCGGCAGGTTTCACAAGCACAGCTGTGAACGAGTAATGAGGAGAGCGCATGGAAGGCGGAGCGGGGGTTAGGAGGGCAGGATGCGGGCACCGGGCCGGGTGGGCACACTGACAAGGGAGAGGAACCCTGAGCTCTCGGTGAGATCCAGGGCGCTCGGTGAGATGCAGGGCGCTAGGTGAGATGCAGGATGCTCGGTGAGGTGCAGGGTGCTCGGTGAGGTGCAGAGTGCTCGGGGAGATGCAGGGCGCTCGGGGAGGTCCAGGGTGCTAGGTGAGGTGCGGGGCGTTCAGGGAGGTTCAGGGTGCTCGGGGAGGTGCAGGGTGCCCTGGGAGGTGCAGGGTGCCCTGGGAGGTCCAGGGCACTTGGGGAAGTGCAGGGCGCTCGGGGAGGTGCAGGGCGCTCGGGGAGGCCATGTAGGGAGGAGTTGAGTTCTGTAAGGGGGAGTCATGTTCATATATTTATCATCACTCATAAAACCGTTAAACTGCAAACTGAAGATTAACCTACCCAATCAGTAATTCATACAATTCCACAACACACACATTTTCTTTTTCTTTTTTTTTTTTTTTTTTTTTTTTTTTTGAGACAGGGTTTGGCTCTGTCACCCAGGCTGGAGTGCAATGGTACCATCTTGGCTCACTGTAGCCTCAATGTCCTGGGCTCAAGCAATCCTCCCACCTCAGCCTTCCCAGTAGCTGGAACTACAGGTGCACACCACCATACCCAGCTAATTTTTTGTATTTTTTGGTAGAAATGTGGTCTCTCTAGGTTGCCAGCCTGGTCTTAAACACCTGGACTCAAGTGATCCATCTGCCTCGCCCTCTCAAAGTGCTAGGATTACAGATGTGAGCGACCACACCCGGCCACACATTTTCCTCCAAAAAATTAGGTTAAATCCATTAATGTCGTCTACCTTTGCAAGTATGGTGGCCAGATTAAACAAAGAAAAATACAAGACACACACGTCGTTTTTAATTTCAGATAAACAATGAATAATGTCTTAGTATAAGTATGTCCCATGCAATATTTGTGCTATAAATATCATATGGGACACGCTTATGCTAAAAAATGACGTGTTGTTCATCAGAAATCTAAGTTTCTGCTGGGCGTCCTTTTATCTGCAGTTCTATTTGCAGGCTGGCTCGGGCAGTGTTCTGGGCTCAGGAGTGGCTTTAGGGTGCTCTACATGAGGACTAGAATGTGGCAGGAGTGTGGGAAAGGGGTAGCAAACAGTGAGAGAAACAGGAGGAGTACCCAAGAGAGTAACGAGTCACCCCTTCAGAGCCAGTCTACATATTTGACCAGTGCAGGTAGGAAGAAATTACTTTTCTATTCATAAACATGTAACAACTCTTTGTATTCCAAATAAAACATGCATTAAGTACCCTGAATGTAATATATCATTTTTCCCTATTTGGAGTTGCTGGTGATGAATTATTTTAAAGGTAGTCTCTGAGATGTGTGAGGCTATTGCTTTGTTCATCATGGACAAACAAACATGGGGAGACCAGAGGCACCTGGCCCTGTGTTTCAGATTATTCACATATGGTCTCAACGTATATCAGTGCCTTAGGCAGCTTCCTGGCAAGCCCATCCCTTAATCCACTATGAACAACATCTCATTACACAGAGAGGAGCTTATATCTTTGCCTGGACAATGTATTGAATAATATAAATATGGCACATTAGTTGAGCTGGTTTTGCCGAGCTTTTTCTTTCTTTCTTTCTTTCTTTAACTATTTTTATATCTCTCTATGCCTCACTTTCCGCATCTGTAAAAACAGGGCATCCACAGAGTTTGTGAGAAGTAGAGTCACTGATACATGTGAGGCACGTAGATCCACACCCAGCACAGTAAGCATTCAAACCAGCCGGTATCATTATTATTATTTAAAAACAATGCAAGACAGCATCCAGGGGAAGATAATCTTTCCAAGTTTAAGCAGAGTTCTCATGTTATTCCCCTTTTCCAAGCTGGCTTGGTCAACATCCAAAAACCTCCACCCCAAGATTCCTGGTCCAGCCAGGGGGGAAAGTCTGCAGGCAGCTTTTACTAAGTGACTTCTATCATTTGAAACTTCACAGGTCCGGGCTGTGGTGGCAAACAGACTATTTTGTTTTGGTTCGACAGGCATCGGCATTTGTGAAGATTTTAAATATGAACACTGTACTCGTTTGCTAGTGCTGTTGTAACAAAGAGCCACAGACAGGGTGCCAGAAACAAGAGCGGCTTCTTTCCTCGCAGTTCTGGAGGCTGGAAGTCAGAAATCAAGGTGTCGGCAGGGTGGGTTTCTCCCCGGGGCCTCTCTTCTTGGCTTGTAGATGGCCGTCTTCTCCCTGTGTCTTCATGTGGTCGTCTGTGCTGCATGTCTGTGTCCCAATCTCCCCTGGTCATAGGAACACCAGTCCCACCAGGTTAGGGCCCACCCTGATGACCTCACTTTAACTTCATTACCCTTCATTACTCTTGAAAGACCCTATTTCCAAAAGCAGTCACATTCTGAGGTCCTGGGGATGAGGATGCAACACATGGATCTGGGAGGCACCATTCAGCCCACAGAGGTGCCTTTGCATGCCTCAGTGCACTGTGGGGGTGCTACGGGGACATGCTGTGGGGACACTGTGGGGACGTGCTGTGGGGATGCTGTGGGGATGCACTGTGGAGGCAAGCTGTGGGGACGTGCTGTGGGGACACTGTGGGGATGCTGTGGGGGTGTGCTGTGGGGACGTGCTATGGGGACACTGTGGGGACACGCTGTGGGGACGCCCTGTGGAGGCGCTGTGGGACAAACTGTGGGGATGTGCTGTGGGGACAGGCTGTGGGTACGCTGTGTGGTCGCCCGTAGGGACACCGTGGGGATGCACTGTGAGGACGCTGTGGGGACAGGCTGTGGGGGCACTGTGGGGATAATGTGGGGATGGGCTGTGGGGACACCCGATGGGGATGCTGTGGGGACGCCCAGTGGGCACGCTGTGGGGACGCGCTGGGGCTGCTGTGGGGATGTGCTCTGGGGGCGCTGTGGGGATGCCATGTGGGAAAGCACTGTGTGGGCGCTGTGGGGACGCCCAGTGGGGACGCTGTGGCCCTGAGTTCGCACAGACCCCACCCATTTAAATCCTGCCTCCTGCACTCGCTTGCTGCTCAGTCATATGCGAGTCAGCCTGTTTCCTCATGTATAAAAGGACGATGAGAATATTAAGCCCAGGCTGGGCCAGGTGGCTCACGCCTGTAATCCCAGCACTTTGGGGGGCTGAGGCGGGTGGATCACCTGAGGTCAGGAGTTCAAGACCAGCCTGGCCAACATGGTGAAACCCCGTCTCTACTAAATTGCAAAAATTAGCCAGGCGTGGTGGTGCGCGCCTGTAATCCCAGCTACTTGGGAGGCTGACGCAGGAGAATCACTTGAATCCAGAGGGCAGGGCTTATAGCAAGCCAAGATCATGCCACTGCACTCCAGCTTGGGTGACAGAGTGAAACTCCGTCTCAAAAAAAAAAATAAAAAATAAAAGAATACTAAGTCCACAGGTGGATCTGTAGATTATATGACCAAACCTCCACGAAGCAGCCAGCTTGGTGCCTGGCACACAGCAAGGATGCAGAGATGCAAGCCCTGGTCTCTGCCGTCTTGAGGAATTGTACTTCTGTCGCAGGGGTAATGAACTGCTGAGAATCCACCTGCTGCAGTCTGTATGCTTGTGTCTCCCTCAAAATTCACATCTTCAAGCCCTCATCCCCAGTACGATGGTATTTGGAGGTGGGGTCTTTGGGAGGTGATCAGAGTTAGATGAGGTTACAAGGGTGGGGACTCCCTGAAGAGATGAGTGTCCTTATAAAAACAGAAACACAAGAGGTCCTTCTCCCTCCCACCCTCCCACCAGGCCCTGAGTGCACCCACCGAGGAAAGGCCATGTGAGGACATAATGAGAAGACAGCCTTGTGCAAGCCAGGAAGAGATCTGGTTTCCAAATGCCACGGTCCAGATCTGCCCGGTTTACAGCATTCAGCAGCTCAACCTTCATAATGCATGAAGACACAACCTTCATAATGCAATTTCCCTAACTCAGTGGTTGTCAACTCTGGAGCACCTTACAATCACTCTGCTAATCTTAAAAGATGGTGCCCAGGCCAGGCACAGTGGCTCACGCCTGTAATCCCAGCACTTTGGGAGGCAGAGGTGGGAGGATCATCTGACGTCAGGAGTTCAAAACCAGCCTGGCCAACATGGCGAAACCCCATCTCTACTAAAAATTAAAAAATTAGCCAGGCATGGTGGTGGGCACCTGTAATGCCAGCTACTCGGGAGGCTGAGGCAGGAGAATCACTTGAACCCAGGAGGCGGAGGTTGCAGTGAGCCAACATCGCATGATTGCACTCCACCCTGGGCAACAGAGCAAGACTCCATCTCAAAAAAAAAAAAAAAAAAACATAGTGCCCAAGCCTCAAAAACAGACATCCAGGCCTATGGAAGAGAATAGAGAGCCCGGAAATAAATCCACACAGTCACAGTCAGATGGTCTTTGACAAGACCAGGAACACACGCTGGGGGAAAGGACAGGCTCTTCTACAAAGGGTGTTGGGAAAACGAGAGCCACATGATGAATAATGAAACTCACCTCCCTCCATCTACAAAAATCAACTCAAAATGGATTAAAGACTTCAATGTGAGACCTGAAACTAGACATCTACTAGAAGAAAACAGTGAAAAAAACTCCATGGCATTGGTCTGGGCAATGATTTCTTGAATATGACCCCAAAAGTAAAGGAAACAAAAACAAAATAAAAATTTAAAAGACACAAAAATCACGCAGAAGCTAGCAGCTAACAATCAAAAAAGCTCCTGACGTATGAGGTGTCAGACATCCAAGACCATTGTCCACTTCTCCAGTGCCAGGTCCTCCTTTGTTTCCAGGCCCCTCGGTCCTTCACTTCCTTCCAGGCCTGCAGTGGCCCTGCTCATACTTCCCAGCAGTCAGCAGCCACCGTCACAAGGTCAGGCGTGTCCCAGGAGCATCAGAGCAATGCAGACCCAACGCAGGACCGCCAGCCCTTTGACGCAGCATGGGGTGGGGCGGGATGGAGGGCTGGATGGACAGAGTAGGGCCCCGGCCCAGCGGGGCACCCTCGGTGGCAAGGGCTGCAGATCCTACGTTGCCTTTCTTGGCACATTCTCCAAGATATTTCAACGATGACTACTTGGGTTCAAAAGTGAGCAAGCCAATTCCCCCAGTGCCCGAAGGCGCTGGCATCTGAGCCTGCTGATTGACACTGGCTTCACCTGCACTAGGAATTCCCTGATCTCCTGTCTTTAATAAGCGATTCTCGAAAGGTCTTCATTACTTCCTAATTGTCGGAATTCATTTGCTTCATTTTTCTGGTTAAGAAACATTTAAAAAATTAATCTCCAACCTTGGGCTGCCGTTAATTTAAAAGCTCCTCCACACTTATTAATGACATCATCTGTTCTATCAATCTTACCCCACAACCACCAGTGCCACCCGTGTGCACGCACACACTGACACACACACACACACACACACACACACACACACACACTGATTTCAAAGTCCTTCCTTTGCTCTCTCTTTCTGGTTAAAAATTTGATTCACCAAGCACAGTGGCTGATGCCTGTAATCCCAGCTCTTTGGGAGGCCAAGGTGCGCAGATCACCTGAGGTTGGGAGTTCAAGGCCAGCCTGACCAACGTGGAGAAACCCCATCTCCACAAAAAATACAAAACTAGCCAGGCATGGTGGCGCATGCCTGTAATCCCAGCTACTCGGGAGGCTGAGGCAGGAGAATCACTTGAACCCGGGAGGCAAAGGCTGCGGTGGGCTGAGATCACGCCACTGCACTCCAGCCTGGACAACAAGAGCAAAACTCCATCTCAAAAAAAAAAAAAAAATTGATTCTTTCATCCATCCCATAACCACTGTCACTGTAATATCTACTTGACTTTTATTTTTTAGCTATTTATTTTTATATATTTAGGAGGTAGGAGTGCAAGCTTCTTGCTTGTCTATATTGCATAGTAGTGGAATCTGGGCTTTTAGTAGATCCATCTCTCAAAGAGTGAACATTGAGATTTTAGAGGTCACTCTGTGAACACCAGAATTGAAAAAGGGCAGGCGGGCACACCCTCTCTTTCAAAGAACCCCAGGCTGCTCTGGGATCGAGTTCACAGGTGGCTGCAGGTCCACTCCCAGCTTCCGACCTCCCTGCAAGGGGTGCCGTCCTTGCCTCTCTCTCTCTACAGTTCCTGGAAAGCTGTCATGATGGCGAGGTCGTGGGAAACTAGTCGGACTCCACCCCGCCTCGGCCCGCTTACCGCACCCTGGCCTCCAGGAGCTCCCACTGAGGGTGTGGAAAGAAATGCTCCGCCCAGATCTCTGCTGCTCTGTGTCTCATCCCTCCTGATATCCACCGTAACACTAAACACAGCACTTGGGCATCAGAAGCCCACAAATATTTGTTGAAAAATTAATTAGACGGTACCTAACATGAGAATGTCCATTTGTTTTATTAGTCAACATCCACGAAGAATATCCACTAGAATTGGAACAGCAAGCACGTTTCCTCTCAAGTGCTGACTCCAATCATCACGGTCCCCCCAACTTGCAGATGATACTGAAGCTGCATCTGGCACCAGAAGGAAAGAGCATCGGCAGCGGCTACAACCCATCGCCACCCTGGGCCCGAGAGAGCAGTTGGTGGTGCGGGCAGTGTGCCAGTCAGGGTTCTCTTGAGAAATGGAACCAATAGGAGACAGAGAGAAAAAAAAATATACACACAGATTTAGACATAGATGGAGAGGGAGAGATGCTAAGGAATTGACTCACGGCATTGCGGGG
Source organism: Homo sapiens (assembly GCF_000001405.40). Lineage (NCBI taxonomy): Eukaryota > Metazoa > Chordata > Mammalia > Primates > Hominidae > Homo > Homo sapiens. Next base: position 152,887,412 of record NC_000007.14, on the reverse strand, counting down.
GCTGGCAGGACTGGACAGCAGACTGGAAACTCAGGTAAGAGCTGATGGGCCAGGCACGGTGGCTCATGCCCGTAATCTCAGCACTTTGCAAGGCTGAGGTGGGAGGATTGCTTGAGGCCGGGAGTTCGAGACCAGCCAGGTCAACATACAAGACCTTGTCTCTACAAAAAACTTACAATTAGCTGGGTGTGATAGCTTGCACCTATATAATCCTAGCTACTCGGGAGGCTGAAGCAGGAGGATCACTTGAGCTGAGATCAGGCCACTGCACTCCAGCCCGGATGGTGGTGTAAGACCCTGTCTCAAAAAAATGTTGAAAAAAAGAACTGATGATGACTGATGTTTCAGCATCCAGTCCAAAATCTGTAGGGCAGCCCAGCAGGCTGGAAACTCAGGCAGGACTTCGATGTTAATCTTCAGACAGGATCCCTTCTTCCCCAGGAGCCCTCAGTTTTGGCTCTTATGGCCTTCAGCTGATTGGGTGAGGCCCACCCATATACGGGAGGGTAATTTCCTTTACTTAAAGTCAACTGAGTGTAAACATTAATCATATCTACAAAATATGTTCACAGCCAGGCATGGTGGCTCATGCCTGTAATCCTAGAATTTTAGGAGGCCAAGACGGGAGGATCACTTGAGCCAAGGAGTTCAAGAACAGCCTGGGCAACACAGTAAGACCCCATCTCTACAAAAAATAAAAAATCAAAAAATGTGTTGGGCATGGTGGCACATGAATGTGGTCCCAGCCACTCAGGAGGCTGAGGTAAGATCACTCGAGCCTGGGAGGTCAAGGCTGCAGTGAGCCATAATTGTGTAGCGCACTCCAGTCTGGGTAACCGAGTGAGACCCTGTCTCAAAAAAAAAAAAAAACCAAATATATATATATTTTGGTTTATATATAAACCAAATACATAAATATATTTATATAAATATATATTTATAATATATGTATTATATATCTATATTATATATATTTATAATATATGTATTATATATCTATATTATATATATTTATAATATATGTATTATATATCTATATTATATATATTTATAATATATGTATTATATATCTATATTATATATATTCATAATATATGTATTATATATCTATATATGATAATATATATTATATAAGTATAAACCAAATATATAAATATATATATATATTCACGACATCTGGAGTAACATTTGACCACACACCTGCACAGCCTAGCCTAGCCTGGCCAGGTTGACACCTAACATTAACCATCACAGGTACCATTAATTTTCCATCCCTAGTGTAGAAGTGCCTCCTCATCTAATCTGCTGTACCTCTGAGGAACCCTTCAGACAGTGCTGATGACATCCATCCAACAGGTTCTCAATGACACCACCTCTTCACGGAATATGGAATTCATAAAGCTGATGCTTGATTGTAGAATTTAGAAGCCTTGAGGACTTTGAGAATTCAATCAGAAAGTTCCTTGAAGCCCAAAGACACATCAGTGTGCATGAGTTTATCCCGATTTCCCGGGAAGCCTCCCATTCACAGCCTTCAAAGTCAACAGTTTCCTCCCCCATAACAGAAAAAGGGGAAGCGGGAGAGAAATTTAAAGAAAAAGGGGAAATTCATATCCAATGGGCACTAATGGTTTAATGTGCCAAAATGAATTGATTTTCTGTTAAAAGCCAAAAGGCAGCAGTTAGACTCAGCACGCCTTCCCTTGCTTATGGTCGTGTGCGTGGTAATGTATGGATGCAACACAAGTTAATTGGTTTTGTTGGGACTCACCAAAGAAAAAATTGCAGAATCCAATTGCTACTACTAATTAGAATTTCCAAGCGCACCATTGTAAAAACCGATTATCCACTTCCTCGGTCATTTTCTAATCTTCTTGATCAAATTTATGCACTCAGTCTCTCTAGTAAACCCCCGAATACAGCCTTCCATCAAATCTGTATAATTAGTGCACCCTGCAGATAGCCGCAGATTTTCTGCCCTGGCTAACAGTTGGGAACCAGTGAACGTCTCTGTTTGCTCACCTTTCTCTCTCCAACCTGGGAGAGCCCCAGTTAAGTCTCACACCCTCCATAAGACTTTGTCCAATCATGGAGACCACATGGCCTCACATGGTTTTGGCCCTGGAGCCCCTCCCCATAGCCTCGTTTGACATTGGTATGTTGTGTTGTTTAGCACGTCGTGACGATAACTTCTCCCTGCATCAGAAATGCACATTTTTAGAATAGCGGCTGTGTCTTCTATCCCACTATTTTGGTCAACAAATGCTCCAAAAATGATGCCCCTTTAGACGGGCATCTGCCACACTCTAAAAATCGTCATAACAAAAGTCATTTGGCAGATACCTGACAAAGCACTTCTCCGTATTATTATCCTCTTGGGTGGTCCCAATACCCCTGTGCAGTCGATGTCTCTGTCACACGTGTCCGTGTGAAGAGACCACCAAACAGGCTTTGTGTGAGGAACAAGGCTGTTTATTTCACCTGGGTGCAGGCGGGCTGAGTCCTAAAAGAGAGTCAGCGAAGGGAGATACCGGTGGGGCTGTTTTATAGGATTTGGGTAGGTAGTGGAAAATTACAGTCAAAGGGGGTTGTTCTCTGGTGGGCAGGGACGGGGGTCACAAGGTGCTCAGTGGGGGAGCTTCTGAGCCAGGAGAAGGAATTTCACAAGGTAATGTCATCAGTTAGGGCAGGAACCGGCCATTTTCACTTCTTTTGTGATTCTTTACTTGCTTCAGGCCATCTGGATGTATATGTGCAGGCTTGGGCTCAGAGGCCTGACAGTCTCATTTTATCAACAGGAAAACGGAGGATCCTGCCTCCGGTTACAGAGACAGAGGGGCTCACCCTGGGCTTGACCTCCAGTTCTGACCTTCAGAACACACACTCTGCTCTGTCACAGGAAGCAGTGAGGGCTGGGATTCCCTCAAGCTCCAGGTGCACAGGCAGGTGCAGGAGTCAGCCTCTAGCCTCCCAAGCCACAGCTTCTACATTGTGAAGAATCAAAAGTAACTAGATGGGGGCCACCATGTGCCCCTGGTGTCAGCCTCCCCGTTCCCCAGCCTCTGCCCTCAGGCACCTTCTGCCTCCTGCTCCCCTGGTTCATCATTTGTCACTTCACTACTTCAAGGAGCTCATTGTCTCCAATGGACATTTGCATAAGTGAGTAACTGTAAAATTTAAAACCTTCATCTATCAAAAAATCCAGTCACAGTAGGTAGTAAATTTTACGAGGTATCAATTGGTGAGTGGGGGAGCGGGTAGAGACCACCATGGAGTGCCCAGCACCCTGCGGGTGCCTCTCCTGCACCCCTGCCTCTCCTGGCACACCCCCTGCCCATGCGCACCCCTCTGCCCGGCTCCTCCATGCTGGGAAGGGACTCTGTGATGCACGGCAACCTCAGCCTCTCGCTGCAGCTCTTCCAATGACCCCTGCAGTCAGCCCCAGGACACACACGGCTCTGTCCCTCACCACCTACCCTGCCAGCCTTCTTCCTGTCTCTTCCCAGTGAGAGGCCCTCAGCCATTAGACCAACAGCCCTTCTGGATTTAACAGGGACCAGTCCAGCGTTTCTCAAACTTAACGTGTACACAAGTCACCCTGCAGCCTGTAACATGAGGAGCTGGGTTCAGTAGGACTGGTGGGGCCTGAGAGCCCTCATTTCTAGCAAGTTCCCAGGAGATATCAATGCATCGGCTCCACACAGCACGCTCAGAGCCGCAAGGATCCAGTCTCAGAGACGACCATGCTGAGGGCCAGTGCTTCTTCCCAGATGCGTAACCAAGAGCCTCGGGAAGACTTAGGTCTTTTTCTTTCTTCTCCTCCCCACCCTTTAAGATCCTATGCTACCAGTACCAGTAGAAGAGTTAAAAGATCAAGCGCAGTTTGGCAAAAGATCAAGCGCAGTTCGGGTGCGGTGGGTCACACCTTTGGGAGGCTGACGTGGGTGGATCACATGAGGTCGGGAGTTTGAGACCAGCCTGGCCAACATGGTGAAACCCCATCTCTACTAAAAAATACAAAAATTAGCCAGGCATGGTGGCGTGCACCTGTAATTCCAGCTACTTGGGAGGCTGAGGCATGAGAATCACTTGAACCCGGGAGTCGGAGGTTGCAGTGAGCTGAGATTGCACCACTGCACTCCAACCTGGGCAACACAGCAAGACTTCCGTCTCTTAAAAACGAAAGAAAAAAATAAAACGATCAAGCACATGCACAGATGATACTGAACTACTTAGACCCCAGTGCAGCACAGACCCCACGGATCCCAACAGGTGCCATCCATCAGCCAGCAGCCCCGCCAGTGAGGGGTGGCTCCACACCAGCCTCGGGCGTGCACTTGTGCTGTGGCGGGTTGAACTGTGTTCCCCCAAGAAAGATATGATGAAGTCCTAAACCCCAGTACCTGAAAATGTGATGTTATTTGGAAATAGGGTCTTTGCGATGTAATTAAGATATAAGATGAGGGTCATACTGGAGTAGGGTGGGCCTTTAATCCAATATGCCTGTGTCCTGATAAGAAGAGAAGAGACACAGAGAGAAGGCCCCGTGAAGATGGGCACACAGAGGCAAGACGGCCGTGGGGCAACGGAGGCAGAGATGGTAGCTGCACAGCCGCAACCACAGAGTGCCAAGGACGGCCACAGCCCCAGAGGCCGGGAAGGTACAGCGCCAGAGGCCGGGAAGGTACAGCCCTGCCCACACCTGGACCTCAGACTTCTGCCTCCAGGACTTGAGAGAAGAAATTTCTAATGTGTTAAGCCCCCCAGTTTGTGGCAGTTTATTACAGCCACTCTAGGAACTGATACAGTTGCTTCATTCTGTTTTGTTTGAAACAGTCGCCATAGGAAGGGTGATGAGGAAGGAGATTGTACTGTGAGGTTACAATGAAGGCTTCTTCCAGTTATTTCACCCCCTTGCTCGACTCTCAAAGGGCCGGAGGAGACAGAATTGGCTATGTTCATAGGGCATTAAAAGCCAGCAATGAGCATTATCCAGGAAAGCACTTAGTTTCCTTAAGATCAAATGGAAGAAACTCAGAAACCCATCAGAAAGGCAGAGGGACATGTCCCTTCAGCCACCCAGGCTGTTCCAGAAAATGGAGCTTCATGAGATACATGTGACACACAGGCAGAGGTGCTGAGCCCAGGGCCTCAGAGGGGAGGCCCAGCCCTCTTGCACTTTAAAGAAAGCAATCTGTAAAGATGGAGCCTTCTGTCCAGTTCAGCTGTGGTGGAGGCTGTTCATTACCACCCCATGTCCACTCCCGTCTTCTTTCATGACAAACACTGATTCTTACCTGTGCCATTGCCACCAGCTCAGTGACTACATTTACCACCATGCCCAGCAGCGACTTGGTGCCATGTGACCCAACTCTAGCAAGAGTAACTCTGTGAAGTACCCTAAAGGGGAGGAGGCACACCCCTTTTGACACTTCCTTCTTCCTGCTGACCTCCAGCAGGCATGTCAGCTGGAGTTCCAGCTGTCATTTAGGGCTATGAGGACCAGGACTACAATCTAGGGTTGGCAGGCCAGGACACCGCAAGGAGCAGAGGACCCTGGGGTTCATGGAAGCTCTGAGCATCCCTGGATAGCCCACCCAGAGAAAAAAACAAAACCTTATGTATTGAAACTACTGTTGCTGGGCACTGTGGCTCATATCTGTAATCCCAGCACTTTGGGAAGCCGAGGCAGGAGGATCACTTGAGCCTAGGAGTTCAAGACCAGCCTGGGCAACATGGCAAGACCCTGTCCCTGCAAAAAAATGTAAAACTTAGCTGGGTGTGGTGGCACATATCTGTGATCCCAGCTACTTGGGAGGCTGAAGTGGGAGTATCACTTGGGCCCAGGAGGTCGAGGCTGCAATGAGACATATTTGCACCAACACTCAAGCCTAGGCGACAGAACGAGATCCTGACTGAACAAATAATAATAGTAGCCATTATGGCTGGGTAACGTGGCATCCCATTGTGGCTTTAATATCCCCAATGACTGGTGATGTTGAACATGTTTTCATATGTTTGTTTATTGGCCAATTGTATATTTTCTTTTTTTATTTTTATTTTTTTTTATTATTATACTTTAAGTTTTAGGGTACATGTGCACAACGTGCAGGTTTGTTACATATGTATACATGTGCGATGTTGGTGTGCTGCACCCGTTAACTTGTCATTTACATTAGGTATATCTCCTAATGCTATCCCCCCTCCCCCCACCCAGTGTGTGATAGTCCCCTTCCTGTGTCCAAGTGTTCTCATTGTTCAATTCCCAGCTATGAGTGAGAACATGCGGTGTTTGGTTTTTTGTCCTTGCGATAGTTTGCTGAGAATGATGGTTTCCAGCTTCATCCATGTCCCTACAAAACACATGAACTCATCCTTTTTTATGGCTGCATAGTATTCCATGGTGTATATGTGCCACATTTTCTTAATCCAGTCTATCACTGATGGACATTTGGGTTGGCTCCAAGTCTTTGCTATTGTGAATAGTGCCGCAATGAACATACATGTGCATGTGTCTTTATAGCAGCATGATTTATAATCCTCTGGGTATATACCCAGTATTGGGATGGCTGGGTCAAATGGTATTTCTAGTTCCAGATTCTTGAGGAATTGCCACACTGTCTTCCACAATGGTTGAACTAGTTTACAGTCCCACCAACAGCGTAAAAGTGCTCCTATTTCTCCACATCCTCCCCAGCACTTGTTGTTTCCTGACTTTTTAATGATTGCCATTCTAACTGGTGTGAGATGATATCTCATTGTGGTTTTGATTTGCATTTCTCTGATGGCCAGTGATGATGAGCATTTTTTCATGTGTCTGTTGGCTGCATAAATGTCTTCTTTTGAGAAGTGTCTGTTCATATCCTTCACCCACTTTGTGATGGGGTTGTTTTTTTCTTGTACATTTGTTTGAGTTCTTTGCAGATTCTGGATATTAGCCCTTTGTCCAATGAGTAGATTGCAAAAATTTTTTCCCATTCTGTAGGTTGCCTGTACACTCTGAGGGTAGTTTCTTTTGCTGTGCAGAAGCTCTTTAGTTTAATTAGATCCCATTTGTCAATTTTGGCTTTTGTTGTCATTGCTTTTGGTGTTTTAGTCATGAAGTCCTTGCCCATGCCTATGTCCTGAATGGTATTGCCTAGGTTTTCTTCTAGGGTTTTTACGGTTTTAGATCTAACATTTAAGTCTTTAATCCATCTTGAGTTAATTTTTGTATAAGGTGTAAGGAAGGGATCCAGTTTCAGCTTTCTACATATGGCTAGCCAGTTTTCCCAGCACCATTTATTAAATAGGCAATCCTTTCCCCATTGCTTGTTTTTGTCAGGTTTGTCAAAGATCAGATGGTTGTAGATGTGTGGTATTATTTCTGAGGGCTCTGTTCTGTTCCATTGGTCTATATCTCTGTTTTGGTACCAGTACCATGCTGTTTTGGTTACCGTAGCCTTGTAGTATAGTTTGAAGTCAGGTAGCGTGATGCCTCCAGCTTTGCTCTTTTGGCTTAGGATTGACTTGGCAATGTGGGCTCTTTTTTGGTTCCATATGAACTTTCAAGTAGTTTTTTCCAATTCTGTGAAGAAAGTCATTGGTAGCTTGATGGGGATGGCATTGAATCTATAAATTACCTTGGGCAGTATGGCCATTTTCACGATATCGATTATTCCTATCCATGAGCACGGAACGTTCTTCCATTTGTGTCTTCTTTTATTTCGTTGAGCAGTGGTTTGTAGTTCTCTTTGAAGAAGTCCTTCACATCCCTTGTAAGTTGGATTCCTAGGTATTTGATTCTCGTTGAAGCAGTTGTGAATGGGAGTTCACTCATGATTTGGCTCTCTGTTTGTCTGTTATTGGTGTATAAGAATGCTTGTGATTTTTGCACATTGATTTTGTATCCCGAGACTTTGCTGAAGTTGCTTATCAGCTTAAAGAGATTTTGGGCTGAGACGATGGGGTTTTCTAGATATACAATCATGTCATCTGCAAACAGGGACAATCTGACTTCCTCTTTTCCTAATTGAATACCTTTTATTTCTTTCTCTCGCCTGATTGCCCTGGCCAGAACTTCCAACACTATGTTGAATAGGAGTGGTGAGAGAGGGTATCCCTGTCTTGTGCCAGTTTTTAAAGGGAATGCTTCCAGTTTTTGCCCATTCAGTATGATATTGGCTGTGGGTCTGTCATAAATAGCTCTTATTATTTTGAGATACATCCCATCAATACCATTTTTTTAAAAAAATAGAGACAAGGTCTCACTATCTTGCCCAGACTGGTCTTGAACTTCTCCTGGGCTTAAGCAATCCTCCTACTTTAGCCTCCCAAAGTGCTGGGATTACAGGCGTGAGCCGCCACACTGGCCCTGTATGTTTTCTTTTGAGAAATATCTGTTCATGTCGTTTGCCCACTTTCTAGTGGGAATGATTCTGGGGTCAACAATAAAATCAAGAAGGAAATTTTTAAATTTTTCGAGATGAATGATAATAGTGACAAGTTATCAAAAATCTCTGGGGTAAAGCAAAAGCAGTGCTAAGAGGAAAGTGTATACCACTAAACGCCTACATCAAAAAGACAGAAAGATCACAAACTGATAGCCTAACCACTGTTTCTTTTTTTGGTTTTTGTTTTTTTGTTGTTGTTTGTTTGTTTGTTTGAGACACAGTCTCACTCTGTCGTCCAGACTGGAGTGCAGTGGCGCGATCTCAGCTCACTGCAACCTTCACCTCCTGGGTTCAAGCAATTCTCATGCCTCAGCCTCCCAAGTAGCTGGGATTGCAGGCGTGCACCACCACACCCAGCTAATTTTTTGTATTTTTAGTAGAGATGGGGTTTCACCATGTTGGCCAGGCTGGTCTCAAACTCCTGGCCTCAAGTAATCCACCTGCCTTGGCCTCCCAAAGTGCTGGGATTACGGGCGTGAGCCACCACTTCCGGCCCTAACTCACTGTTTCAATTATGTGCTGTGGATGGCAACTGCCTCTTAACTTCCTCAAGCAAATCACTGAGGTTACAAAGGTCAATGGAAAGATGGTCAAAATAAGTGAATTATTTTATTTACAAATAAAAACTCCATTCTTACAGCAGCACGATATAGACACAGAGGAAGGAAAATTAGGCCTCTACACCCAGTATTTTTTTTTTTTTTTTTTGAGAAAGGGTCTCACTGTCGCCCCTGCTGGAGTGCAGTGGTGCAATCTTGGCTCACTACAACCTCCGCCTCCTGGGCTCAAGAGATCCTACCACCTCAGCCTCCCAAGTAGCTGGGACCACAGATGTGCACCACCACACCCAGCTAAGTTTTAAATTTTTGTAGGGATGAGGTCTCACCATGTTGCCCAGGCTGGTCTTAAACTGCTGGCCTCAGGTGATCCTCCTGCCTCAGCCTCCCCAAGTGCTGGGATTACAGGCATGAGCCACCACACCTGGCCTACACCCAGTATTTTTAACCAACCTCCTCCACCTCAGAAAGCTTGTTTGTAGATAATTGGAGTCATGAAATGGGAATATTTTCTTACTTGATTGACAGCAATCATTACTCACCCTGAAGGAGAGGTTATAGAGCTACTGCAACAAGAGCGGTTTAAATTATTTCTTTTTGGTTTTTCACTGCTTTAATCCTTGGATACATCTCATATTTCAATCTAATAGCAAAATGGAGCCTTTGTCTTCAGTTGGCCTGGGCTGTTTCTGCTCCTGGTTCTTAGTCACTGGATAGCATTTTGATTTCTAAAATTATTTTAAAATTTGATCCTACAAAGAATATACTTTAACTAAATTTGGAACTAGAGTTTATATCTCCATGTATCTCATGACAAAGGGGACAGGAGGGCCCTGCTACTTCCTTCCCACACAATCGTTTTTCTTTTTCCTTCAGTTCTTCTGTCTCTTTCCATATTATTCTGACTATCCTTTGGTTCAGCCTCTTTTGTGCCTCTGCTGCTTCCTGGGAGGAACTCAATTTGCTTTTAACTGTGCTGAAGACAGTGTGCAGGTCTTTTAAATAAACACAGGAAATAAAGTAGCATAAAGTAGAACCAGAGTACTGGCAAAGGAAGGTGGAGAAAGAGCTGGGGTCAGAGGCAAATTAAAGAGAACTGGAATTTCAATTTCTTTCTACAAGAGGCAGCACCATGGGCAACCCACCAAGAGGGCACCATCTACCCAAGAGGGCACCATCTACCCAAGAGGATAGCCATTTACTCCACAGAAGAGCATCTACCCAGGAGGGCAGGTGGAGGGAGTATCTTCCTGACACATTCATAACCACAGGTTGACAACAGAAGTGCCTGTTGCAGGCCACAACCAAATACTTTTAATAAGCATAGAAATATAATGAGATGGAAATTTATACCCAACAGAATTCCAGGGAGTTTCTCCTCACAAGAGAAAAAACTGTGTGGGCATGAGACTGCCCTTCCGAGGGGTTGTGGGCTGCAGCAGGGAGGCCCGCGTGCCTGCAGCGGAAGGCAGGTAGGTGTGCGATGATGTGCAGATGTGGGAGAGGACAGCGAGGGCAGTGGGTGGGAATGAGGGGAAGTACAGGAGGCAGAAAGAGGAAAGACTTGGGAGTCGTACTGTGGAAGTTGTTGCATGTAGCAAGCTCAACTCCCGGCCCAGGCACATGCCTGTGGTTCTCGTACAATCTGTATAGGAAGGCCAAGGTCACTTCCCAGATGATTTGCAGCTACCATTCCACATGTGACCAGGGCCTCCAGGCAGAAGTCAGTGTGAAAGGGGGCAGCCCACACAGGGAAATTAGATCTCGTGGCAGCCACAGGTGGACACCTGGAGCTCTCCTCCAGCAGCTGTGGAAGGGGTTTTCCCATCCCAGCTCTGGCATTGCAAGTGGGGAGCCCAGCGGGGGATCAGGTGGGGTTTCTGCATTTCTGGGTGGACATATCTCCTGCCTGGTGTGCCCCTGGCTCGGTGGCATATATGCCATGTCCCTGCCCTCCCAGGTATGCTGAAGCCCCTAACACTCTCTCCCTTAAAAAGCTAACTTGGGCAGCACTATTTACAATAGCAAAGACATGGAACCAACCCAAATGCCCATCAGTGATAGGCTGGATAAAGAAAACGTGGTACGTATACACCATGGAATACTATGCAGCCACAAGAAATAAAGAGTTCATGTCCTGATTGTATATTTAGAAAACCCCATCATCTCAGCCCAAAATCTCCTTACGCTGATAAGCAACTTCAGCAAAGTCTCAGGATACAAACTCAATGTGCAAAAATCACAAGCATTCCTATACATCAATAACAAACAAAGAGCCAAATAATCAGTGAACTCCCATGCACAATTGCTACAAAGAAAGTAAAATACCTAGGAATCCAACTTACAAGGGATGTGAAGGACCTCTTCAAGGAGAACTACAAACCACTGCTCAGTGAAATAAAAGAGGACACAAACAAATGGAAGAACATTCCATGCTCATGGATAGGCAGAATCAACATCATGAAAATGGCCATACTGCCCAAAGTAATTTATAGATTCAATGCTATCCCTGTCAAGCTACCACTGACTTTCTTCACAGGATTGGAAAAAACTACTTTAAAGTTCATATGGAACCAAAAAAGAACCCGCATAGCCAAGACAATCCTAAACAAAAAGAACAAAGCTGGAGGCATCATGCTACCTGACTTCAAACTATACTGCAAGGGTACAGTAACCAAAACAGCATGGTACTGGTACCAAAACAGAGATATAGACCAATGGAACAGAACAGAGGCCTCAGAAATAACATGACACATCTACAACCATCTGATCTTTGACAAACCTGACAAAAACAAGCAATGGGGAAAGGATTGCCTATTTAATAAATGGTGCTGGGAAAACTGGCTAGCCATATGTAGAAAGCTGAAACTGGATCCCTTCCTTACACCTTATACAAAAATTAATTCAAGATGGATTATAGACTTAAATGTAAGACCTAACACCATAAAAACCCTAGAAGAAAACCTAGGCAATATCATTCAGGACACAGGCATGGGCAAGGACTTCATGACTAAAACACCAAAAGCAATGGCAACAAAAGCCAAAATAGGCAAGTGGGATCTAATTAAACTAAAGAGCTTCTGCACAGCAAAAGAAACTATCATCAGAGTGAAAAGGAAACCAACAGAATGGGAGAAAATCTTTTCAATCTACCAATCTGACAAAGGGCTAATATCCACAATCTACAAAGAACTTAAATTTACAAGAAAAAAACAACCCCATCAAAAAGTGGGCAAAGGATATGGACACTTCTCAAAAGAAGACATTTACGCAGCCAACAGACATATGAAAAAATACTCATCATCACTGGTCATTAGAGAAATGCAAATCAAAACCACAATGAGATACCATCTCACACCAGTTAGAATGGCGATCATTAAAAAGTCAAGAAACAACAGATACTGGAGAGGATGTGGAGAAAATAGAAACACTTTTACATTGTTGGTAGGAGTGTAAATTAGTCCAAGCACTGTGGAAGAAGACAGTGTGGCAATTCCTCAAGGATCTAGAACTAGAAATACCATTTGACCCAGCGATCCCATTACTGGATATATACCCAAAGGATTATAAATCATATTACTACAAAGACATATGCACATGTATGTTTTTTGTGGCACTATTCACAATAGCAAAGACTTGGAAACCCAAATGTCCATCAATGATAGACTGGATTAAGAAAATGTGGCACGTATACACCGTGGAATAATATATAGCCATAAAAAAGGATGAGTTCATGTCCTTTGCAGGGACATGGATGAAGCTGGAAACCATCATTCTCAGCAAACTATTACAAGGACAGAAAACCAAACACCACATGTTCTCACTCATAGGTGGGAGTTGTACAACAAGAACACATGGACACAGGGCGGGGAACAATCACACACTGGGGCCTGTCGGGGGGTGGGGGGCTGGGGTAGGGATAGCAGTAGGAGAAATACCTAATGTAAACGACAAGTTGATAGATGCAGAAAACCAACATGGCACATGTATACCTATGTAACAAACCTGCACGTTGTGCACATGTACCCTAGAACTTGAAGTATAATAAAATAAATAAATAAAGAGATCATGTCCTTTGCAGGGACATGGCTGAAGCTGGAAGCCATCAACCTCAGCAAACTAACACAGGAACAGAAGACCAAACACCGCATGTTCTCACTCGTAAGTGGGAGTTGAACAATGAGAACACATGGACACAGGGAGGGGAACATCACACACCGGGACCTGTCAGGGGGTTGGGGGCTAGGGGAGGGAGAGCATTCAGACAAATACCTAATGCATGTGGTGATTAAAAACTAGATGACGGGTTGATAGGGGCAGTAAACCACCATGGCACATGTATACCTATGTAACAAACCTGCACGTTCTGCACATGTATCCCAGAACTTACAGTAAAATTTAAAAAAAATTAAAAATTTAAAAAGCTAACTTGGATTCCGTAGTCTGTAACTAAAACCCTGAGATGGTGGGAAAGTGGAATATTTAAAATGCTGTATTTTATATGCAAACTCCTGCCCTGTTCCTTCATGAATTCTAAACTAAATCTCTGTATTCAAGCTTTCTGGAGTTGGATCTTATTAAATTTGAAAAATCAAGAAGAGAAGCAAGCCTTAATGCAGGTATTTCTTAAAATCCCTTTCCTACCTATTTCTTCAGTTAACATACTGTGTTTTCAATACATTCTATCTGTAGACAAGCAACATGCTTTGCAAATGGAAAGTGAGAAAAATACATTGTGAAGGATAATCTCAGTCTTTGCCAAAGCACCGTGACAGAACTCTAATAGAAGACTCTTGGAGAAAATGACACAACCTATAAAAGTAAAAAGTAGACGAATGTTGTGTAAACTTATCAAGAGTTTATAACAATCCTTGCCTAAGATCTGTGGACACAGTGGCTCTTGAAATCCTGTCTTCACCTGACTGACTCTCCGGTTTCCAATAGGACCAACGTCCAGAGAATGGTTTCTTCTTTCCCTTATCGAGGCCAGATCCTGAAGCTGGGCAGCTCAGACGCTACTCCTGATCCCCATCCCAAGCAGACCTTTGCAGGACAGAAGGGTACCATCTTTCCAGGAAGCTGTCTTGCTAAGCTGTGCTCTCAGAGCATCCCAGTAGACATCTCTTACGTACCACAGCAGACCCAAATGGCCTCACCTGTCCCTTCCTGAGGCCACCGCTGCAGTAACCAGCTTCCTACAGGTGCAGCTGGCAGATATTGCCTCCAGCCCACCCCATGTACCTTCACTGCCACCCTGGCCTCCCTGCTTATGTGCAGGAGAGCACGTCACAGGGACCTGAAGGGCAAGTTCCTGGCATGTGTGAGATGAGACATGGGGCAAACTTTGAGCGGCGGGGGGGCCGAAGGAGTGGATAACACTCCCTCCTCTCTCCCCAGCAAAGGGGTGACTCTGAGACACAGTCCACACGGCTTCCAGGCGGTCACAGCACAGACCCAGACAGGTCACAGCATAGACAGATAGTCAGGCAGGTCAGAGCAGGCATCCTGCGCGGCCACTCCACCATCCCTCCTGCGCGGCCGCTCGACCAACCCTCCTGCGCAGCCACCGGACCACCCCTCCTGCCCAGCCACCGGACTGCCCCTCCTGCATGGCCACCGGACCGACCCTCCTGGGTGGCCACCAGACCGCCCCCCCTGCCCGGCCACCAGACCACCCCTCCTGCATAGCCACCTGACCGCCCCTCCTGCCCGGCCACCAGACCACCCCTCCTGCCCGGCCACCAGACCACCCCTCCTGCATAGCCACCTGACCGCCCCTCCTGCGTGGCCACCAGACCGCCCCTCCTGCATAGCCACCTGACCGCCCCTCCTGCCCGGCCACTGGACCACCCTTCCTGCATGGCCACCAGACGTCCCCTCTTGCATGGTCACCAGACGTCCCCTCTTGCGTGGCCACCAGATGGCCCCACCAGACCGCCCCTCCTACATAGCCACCTGACCGCCCCTCCTGCGTGGCCACCAGACCGCCCCTCCTGCATGGCCACCTGACCACCCCTCCTGCCCGGCCACTGGACCACCCTTCCTGCATGGCCACCAGACGTCCCCTCTTGCGTGGTCACCAGACTGCCCCTCCTGCGTGGCCTCTCAGCACTGCCCTCCTCCCCGCCCACTCCATTCCCTGTGACCACATCCACAGCAAAGCCCTGCACTTCAGTCACCGCCTCATGCGCTGCATTCTGGGGAACCTGGAGCTGAGATCGTGTGGCCCCCAGAGCCACCGCTGAGAGACAGCAGGTAACACGACCCCACACATACAAAAGTCACGGCTGCCACAGGTTGCCCAGGAGTCTGTCATTGTGGGATCCAGCTCTAGAAGGAGAACCTGGGCCAAAGACATTCTTGGGAATTCATGAATTCCCAAGAATCTGAGCTAACAGTTTCATCAGTAGTGAGTGCTAGAGTGAAGTCCTGCTATGTTAGGCCCCGCTGCGTCCATCCCCCTCCTCTTGGTAACTGTACTCTGATTATCAGACTCCTCAATGGGTTCACGGGTGTCAGGGGAAATGGGCTGACCACCACAGCTGCAAGACTGGGACCTGCTGGGCTTGGGCCCTGGCTCTGGGGACTGGTTCCGTGACGGGTCATGAATGACACACAGGTGATTTCTGGGGCATCTGGGTAAGAAGCCTGGCTGCACGCTGACACAGTGGAAGGACGGCCTCTCTCCCTGGGGGTGTGGTGTGTGACTATGAGGCCTAGAGCAGCCATTTTGCCGCCACGAGGGTGTCTATCCTGAGGATCAGTCAATCCCCAGAAAAGCAGAGCCCTGGGACCCTGGGGAAGGCTGCCAGGCGCTCTCCCCTCTCGGCCATGCTCTGAACGGAAGTGGCGGCAGCAACAGGAGAGATTCTGGAGCTGGCTCTGTGTCAGGCCTCACAGAGACAGGCTCAATGCCCCGGCTCACAGGGCCCTCTCACCAGGGAGGCAGCAGGTGGCCAGATGCAAGCATACGGGGTGCAGTACCCCCCAGGTGACCCCCAGGGTCAGGAAGTGCGTTTGCCCCAAGGGTGAGGGCATCACCTGCGTCCCAACTCAAGAAACCGGCCCTGCTCCAGGGCCATCCGAGAGAACCTCCACTTAAAAGCTGGCGCTGCTTTTCTAGAGCCCGGGCCCTTCGCCGCTTGAGAGGAGCTGCACATTAAGTTGGAGAAATCAGGGTGCGACCTGGAGGGCAAGGCGGGGAGGAAGGGTCTGGACAAACACTGCTGTCCTCGGATCTCAGGAGCACAAGGCGTGACCACTGGGATTCACTGTAGGATGAGAGAGCCTGGCTCTCCCCAGAGGCTGGCAGTGCTGGCTTTCCTCCCTCCTCCTGCAGAGACCCTCCCAGATCCTGCTGCAGAGACCCCCGGCTCTGGATCATCCTGCAGAGACCCTCCCAGATCCTGCTGCAGAGACCCCCGGCTCTGGATCATCCTGCAGAGACCCTCCCAGATCCTGCTGCAGAGACCCCCGGCTCTGGATCATCCTGCAGAGACCCTCCCAGATCCTGCTGCAGAGACCCCCGGCTCTGGATCATCCTGCAGAGACCCTCCCAGATCCATGCGCCCCTTGCCTGGGCCTTTTCTTCAAACCAGAGCTTTCCATTCATTCCTTTCTCCATCAGACACTCGCTGAGCACTTCCACGCTGGGCCTTGTACTGGAGCTGCAGAAAAGTCGTTCTCTAGTAGGACTGATAGATAAGTGGGGGCCCCTAGGATCACCTCACTTCTGACCCCAGCTGTGTAGCCTGGGGGCCCCAAGACCACCTCACTTCTCACCCAAACTGTGGACCTTGGGGGTTCCAAGACCACCTCATTGATGAAACTAACTGCGGAGCTTGGGGGTCCTCAGGACCACCTCACTTCTGACCCTGGCTGCCTTCCATGTCCAGCCCTGGGAGGTCAAGCCAATAGAGTGTGGCCCAAGGTCCCCACTATAAACACCATTGTCAGCGCACACTATCTAGGGGGGCCTGAGGTGCTCAGGTAACAAAGTGCTCCCGACAGGACACCCCAGTGGCCTGGGGACCAACCTCCCAGGGACCAAAGGTCAAGGGCCAAAGCCAGGCGCTCTGTGGGCACGGCTAACCGTCTACTGCATGGTCCGTGAGCAGTGACCACGGTGCAGTGTGCCGGACAGTTAGAGGTGGGTGCAAGAGAACGCCTCGCCCCTGAACCCAAGGACCCCTGAACCATGCAGCAGGAGAAGCAAAAAGCCCTTCCAGGCAGACCCGCTGTGCTCTAAGTCATGACTCAAGTGTGAAAGCCTAATGGATGACTTAAATAATTAAATCATATTCTTCAGCACATCATTGCGTCTGTCCTCTGCTTTACAGGGAGAGTCAGGAACTACCATGGCCCAGCATGCTGTGGCTTATTTATCCCAAGCCCTTCGTCTCAACCACTTCTCCCAGAGGAACATGGTGCTGTCAATAACAGGCATCAGTCAGAACGCCCCAGAGGTGCTGAGGGGCTTGGCACAGGTCCTCGCTCTCGGGAAGGATCCAATTTCATAGGTGGTGACAGGTCGGGGTGGGCTGCGCCAGGCCGGGTCCTCTCGCCTGTGTGCTCCTCTGCACCCCAGGATGGCATCGCATTTTGAACAATATGTGCTTCCGGGAGACTGTGGCTTATCTGGCACCAGCCAGGGCTTCACGGGCGTCCAACCGATGGAGTCACACGCAGACCCGACACCCATGCTGAACACCTGCTCTGCCATCTTGAAATTCTGAATCATTTATAACAAGAGGCCCCGCATGTTCCTTTTGCACCAGGCCTGCAGATGAAGTGCCCACCCTGAGACCCGTCAACAAGAAGCTGCTGGGAGGCCTTGCTGTGGGGTGCATGGTGCTGACTGCACAGAGGAGACCTCAGAACAAGGTCCTGCCAGGGAGCGGGAGCACCACGAGGTGGTAGACGGGGCAGGATGGGCACCACAGCGAGTCCGTGCACCAGAAGGCACAGACGAGTGCCAGGGCATGCTGCTGGCCCTCAGCAGGACTGGGCAGATCTGGGGAGGAGCATGGCCTGTGCTGACCCTTCCATACCTGCAAGGTGCTGAGGGGCTGAGAGGAGTGGGCTGGACCCACCCTGGGGATGGGTGGAAAAGGAAGTGCTCCCCAGAAGCAAGACGCCCAAATCCCTTAGGACAAGAAATGCCTGTGTTCCTCTGCCCCCACTCTGCATGCAGCCCTGCAGACCACGGTTCTGGTCACGTTCCGAGGTGCTAATACCAAAAAGGCCATCAGGCTCTGGGAACTGGGCCAAGCCGTTTCCATGTGTCTCCCCTGCTAATCCCTCCAACCACAAGAAGTGCACATCCCTACTCTCCTTAGAGTAAGGATGGAGAGTTAGAGTTACAGCGACTGGGTCACTTGCCCAGAATTGGCCGGTCAACACTCAAGTCAACCTCAGGAGCACTGAGGGTACCCATCAGTTCCCAGGAAACAGGAAGACTCGCGTGCTTGATATTAACAACGTGGATTTGTCTTGCCGTGAGTTGAAATGCATCCCCCCAGAACTCATATGCTGAGGTCCTAACTCCCAGGACCTCCGAATGTGACCTTATTTGGAAGTAGGATCATTGCAGAGGAAAGTAATTGAGATGAGGTCACACTGGAGTAGGGTGGGCCCTGATCCCATATGACTGTGTCCTTGTAACAAGAGTAATTTGGACACAGAAGCAGACAGGCACACAGGGAGAACGCCACATGCAGAGAGAGCGGGCGATGCTGCCACAGGCCAGGGGACCACCAGAAGCCAGGAGGGGCCCGAGACTGAGCCTCCCCCAGCGCCCTGAGTGGGAGCCCAGCCCTGCCCACATCTTGACCTTAGACTTCTCACCTCCAGGCTGTGACAAAATAAATTTCTGTTGTTTAAGCCGCCTAGTTTGTATACTTTGTTACAATCGCCCCAGGACACTGATACAGGTCTCCTCAACTATATTCAAAATGTTCTTGGTATCATCACATTTTCCAGGAGGGTCATGGGCATGGAGCTCCTCATACCCACTTTAAAAGCCATCTCAGGCCAGGCCAGTGGCTCACGCTGCAATCCCAGCATTTTGGGAAGCTGAGGTGGGTGCATCAGGCTGGGCGCAGTGGCTCACGCCTGCAATCCCAGCACTTTGGGAGGCCGAGGCGGGTGCATCACTTGAGGTCAGGAGTTCAAGACCAGCCTGGCCAACGTTGTAAAACCCCAACTCTACTTAAAAATACAAAAATTAGCCGGGCGTGATGGCTGCACCTGTAATCCCAGCTACTCAGGAGGCTGAGGCAGGAGAATTGCTGGAACCCGGGAGTCAGAGGTTACAGTGAGCCGAGATCGCACCACTGCACTCCAGCCTGGGCAACAGAGTGAGACTCCATCTCAAATAATTTAATTAATTAAAATAAAAGCCATCTCAGGCCCAAGGCAGTGGAATGCTTCACCCAGACCAGAGAGCACGTCAGGGGCGAGTCAGGATTAGCACACAGGCCTCTGCCTTAATTTGAGGCTTTTTTCACAAACCCACAAGGCCACCATCAGGAACCTAAATTCTGTTAAAGAAAAATGTGTGATATGGTAGAAAGGCATTGAAGGTTTTATCTCAGTAAAGTAACAGCAGTATCACAGCACAGATTCAGGATTGAGGCCTTCAACTTTTGCATTTTGAGTCAGAAAAATGTAGAATGGAGCGGCCACACCTTATTCAAACTTCCACTTTTCAAAATGAGACTGAATACACAAATGGACAATGGTAGATTGTATATAAACAATCTACCAGGAGCATTGAGGGTACCCGTCAGTTCCCAGGAAACAGGGAGGCTCGCATGCTTGATATTAACCACATGATATAAACAACGGTAGACTGTAATACTGACCCACAGTCTGCAGCCCAGGAGGAGAAACTGTGACCTCTGCAGCAATCGGCCCCAAATGCTCAGGACTTGATCGGTGTCTTCCCGCTGCCCTCCTTTTAGCCACCGCTTTCAATTTCGGACCCATCAGAGAACGGTGCTCTCCTGACCCATCACACAAGGGCCTGACTGTGGCGAGCCGGCCTACAGCTCCGCGTGCCTACAGCACCCCCTCGGCACCCCGGAGCTTCCCTCTTCTCCATGATGCCTCCTGCTCCCGTGCCCCCAGGAGCCTTCGCCACGCGGGCAGGACGGCGCCCAGGCCCTTGCAGAGCGGGCTTGGAGGGAACAGCCTCTGCCTGCGCTCACGGGGCCGGCGTTCATTTATTCCCACACAACCATGTTTTATCTTCTTTATGACAGATTATTTTTCCCAGAACTAAAAGGAAAGCCGTTTTCATTGTTAATTTTCCTCTGCTTTCTCTGAAGAGGTGCTGCCATGAAGCAAAATAGCCAGGGGGGGCAGCAAGACCACCAGAGTCCCCACCGCAGTAAAGCAGCGGCCCAGGAGGCTGGGAACAGCAGCGGTCACCCGAGTTCCGAATCGAAATGGCCACGACACGGAGAAACTCTGTCCACAAACACGATGCCCACTACTCACAAGAGGTGAGTCCGGATACCACAATGTATCTACTTTTATCATATGCACGGAAGGAGTTTGTTTTCCCTAAGCAGTGGACACTTCAGCTGGGCACAGCCGTGTGCACCAGCTACTTATGAGGCTGAGGCGGGAGAATCACTTGAGTTCGAGAGCAACCTGGGCAGCACAGGGAGACCACGAAGAGAGAAGGGAAACAGGAAGGGGAAGGGGAAGGAAAACAGGATGTGGGGGGGGAGAAAAAGGGAAGGGAGGCCGGGCACGGTGGCTCATGCCTGTAATCCCAGCACTTTGGGAGGCCGAGGCAGGTGGATCACTTGAGGTCAGGAGTTCGTGACCAGCCTGGCCAACGTGGTGAAACCCTGTCTCTACTATAAATACAAAATAGCCGCGTGTGGTGGTGGGCATCTGTAATTTCAGCTACTCGGGAGGCTGAAGCAGGAGACGCTTGAACTTGGGAGGCAGAGATTGCAGTGAGCTGAGATTGCACCACTGCACTCCAGCCTGGATGACAGAAAGGCCATGTCTCAAAAAAAAAAAAAAGAAAGAAAAAGAAACAGGGAAGGGAAGGAAAATCTGACGTCACAGTGATCACAGCCACACTTACCAACTCCCATTGGTTAATGCTGTCAGAATCACCAGCATCTGTAACTCCTTTCCCTCCGGGGTGTCTTGTTTATATTTGAAATGGAATTCCAGTAGATGGAAATTATATCCTTTTCTAAAAGAGGCTGCTTAAGTGCATTCTGAAGAGAGTAGTAGATTGAATTTCTCTGTTATCTTAGATGATGAGTATGAGCATAAAAAAGAAATGAAAAATAACAAAAAGAAATGCCAAACAGTCCATTTTGTTAATTATAATCTTTCTGCTAGGTACCAAAACACCCTCTGTAACTTCAATTCTCCTTATGTATCACTGACCATCAAAAGCACAATAATCATTTCTCCTTGGTCCACAGTAAAATATTCCAAAGTAAAACAAAAAAATCCTTTTTAGAAACCAGCTTCTCTCTCTCACTAAACACAGTCCACTTACACAAGTCCCTCCACAGATGCCCCATCTGAAGGCAGCGCTTCATGGGGAGCCCCATACGATGGCTCCCTGACTCTGCGATCTGGTCTGGAGATGCAGTGGCCCTGACTCTGCGGTAGCACCGACTCTGAGTTCTGGTCTGGAGGTGCGGTGGCCCCGACCCTGCGGTCTGGTCTGGAGGTGCAGTGGCCCCGACTCTGTGATCTGGTCTGGAGGTGCGGTGGCCCCAACCCTGCGGTCTGGTCTGGAGGTGCGGTGGCCCCGACTCTGCGATCTGGTCTGGAGGTGCAGTGGCCCCGATCCTGAGGTCTGGTCTGGAGGTGCAGTGGCCCCGACTCTGCGATCTGGTCTGGAGGTGCAGTGGCCCCGACTCTGAGGTCTGGTCTGGAGGTGCAGTGGCCCCGACTCTGAGGTCTGGTCTGGAGGTGCAGTGGGACGCACCAAGGCTCTGTGCCAAGTCCCCGCAGGCTCCTGCTCAGGACACAGTGCAGCTCAGCACATTAATGACAGCTCTCACAGCCTCGAGGAAACAAATGTTTCCCTTTGTTAGCCCAAAGTTTCCTAAACACATCTGACTTGGAGCTAGATTTTCACATCTCTGCTGTACCAAGGGAAGGCAGGAGCGGCTGCTCCATAGGAAGCCATGGTCCCCCGGGCCAGGACCGAGTAATCGGTGTTGTTCCCCTCCACAAGGTCACCGGTTTGACTCCTGTGTAACAGTGGACTTGACTGTGTCTTATGGACACAGACTGGATTCTAATCCCATCAGCCCTTTCTCATCACAAGTCATCGCCTCCTGGTAAAAGGGGAGGGTGGGGAGAAGTGAACTTGTCAGTCTAGCGGTCTGTAATTCTGTCATCCCCACAAACCCATCTCTAATACTGGGGAAAATGGACACCAAGTCCAGTTCCTGGTCCATTCAAACTGGCCACGCACATCACCGGGGGGTAAGGATGGAGCAGGTGCAATTCCAGTGTTCACAGCCCAAGGCTTCCCAGAGCAATCTGCTGTAATGGTAGAGTTTAAATTAAATTATATATAAACACTCAAGATGCATACCTCTTTGTGTGAATGCATCATTTGTTTTATTTTTAAGAAAAGGGAAAAAAAACTGAAAATCTGTCCCTGGGTGTGGTTACTAAGCCCTATCAACATTACTGTTATTTCACTTCCAAGGGAACTCAAGCACCTACTTTACTCTGTCACAAATATACAACTTCTCAGAGTACTGGCACAATAAACTTAGTACACACATGATTACTAGTGGTTTAGTGATTAGCACTAAATTACAGAGGACACTCCCCCGGGAAACGATGCTGTTCATAAAATCTCAGCACAAGGGCTGTCAGCTCTTTAAAAGTCACCTGACTGTAAATCAACCCGGACCTGAACTGCACATGACCAGAAAGTTTATAATGCTATTAATCTATGCCATTAGGGGACATTAAGTTACGTAGAGTGTGGCAATCACATTCTTAAACTCTAATTCAGGAGAGCTGTAATTATATCATGCAATAATGTTTTGATTACCCATAAAGTTTAATTTATCATGGACATAAGACCTAATGAATAAATATGTAAAACATGCTAATTCAGCTCAAGAAAATGATTGCATAATCAGAAATGCCCGTGCAGTATACCAACCTAATTAAGATAAAAGATGTCAGTGAAAAATATCAGTCATTTGCACCTTTAGAGCCCACAAAGTTACTTCTCCAGCCAGCATATTCCTTTTTTTTTTTTTTTTTTGAGACGGAGTTTCGCTCTGTCGCCCAGGCTGGAGTGCAGTGGCGCGATCTCGACTCACTGCAAGCTCCGCCTCCCAGGTTCACGCCATTCTCCTGCCTCAGCCTCCCGTGTAGCTGGGACTACAGGTGCGCGCCACCATGCTCGGCTAATTTTTGTATTTTTAGTAGAGACGGGGTTTCACCGTGTTAGCCAGGATGGTCTCGATCTCCTGACCTCGTGATCCGCCCGTCTCGGCCTCCCAAAGTGCTGGGATTACAGGCTTGAGCCACCGCGCCCGGCCGCCAGCATATTCCTAATTAGTATCTATGTGTCTAGCTCTTTCTCTATGCTGGGCTATATCCTAAGTTCTTCTTTAATAGTTCTCAAATACCCCTGTTCTGGACAAATCACAGAAGCTTTTTTCCTACAAAAGAAATAAAGCAGAGTTGCGGGTGGGAGAGAAGACAAACTACTTCTAAATCTAGCAAGAGAAATGATCTTATTGGTACTTTACATTTTAAAACTAAAATCGAGCCACATCCACTAGCTACATATTTTGTTACACTAAACCTCAAAAAGCTCATTCCCCTCCTTCAGCTAAAGGTTGTAGTATGTTACCCTTCTGATTCTGGAGTCCCTTCTCACATCCTTTATTAACTGCCCAGAAGGAGACACACAGTTCCTCCATGGCTCCCGTGCTGTATCTACCAAACCATACGACCTGTTTGCTGAGGCCATCTTTCTGGAGCTGCCGTTAGAAAGCACAAGAGCAGGCCAGGCACAGTGGCTCATGCCTGTAATCCCAGCACTGTGGGAGGCCGAGGCAGGTGGATCATTTGAGGTCAGGAGTTTGAGACCAGCCTGACCAACATGGTGAAACCCTGTCTCTACTAAAAATAAAAAATAAAAAATTAGCCGGGCATGGTGGCATGTGCCTGTAGTTCCAGCTACTCGGCAGCCTGAGGCAAAAGAATCTCTTGAACCCTGGAGGCAGAGGTTGCAGGGAACCGAGGTCACGCCACTGCACCAGCCTGGGTGACAGAGCGAGACTGTCTCACACAAGAGCAGCATTCCCATACAGCCTGTGCAGCCCACCTCACCTCTCCTCCTCCAGGTCTGCTCCATGACTCTAGAGAAAAGCTCCACCTCTCGGGCAAACCTTCTAGGTGTGTCTATGCAGCACATATCCAGGCACCCACTCTTCCGTTAAAAATCTTTTCATGGCCGGGCACAGTGGCTCACACCTGTAATCCCAGTACTTTGGAGGCCGGGGCGGGCGGATCACGAGGTCAGGAGATCAAGACCTTCCTGGCTAACACAGTGAAACCCCGTCTCTACTAAAAATACAAAAAATTAGCCGGGCGTGGTGGCCTGTAGACCCAGCTAGTCGGAGGGCTGAGGCAGGAGAATGGCGGGAACCCGGCAGGCAGAGCTTGCAGTGAGCTGAGATTGCGCCACTGCACTCCAGCCTGGGCGACAGAGCGAGACTCCGTCTCAAAAAAAAAAAAAATCTTTTCATGTGTCCCAGGACTTTGTTCTTAGGATAAGGACCAAAATGCATAGCCAGCCCCATGTGGACAACTTCACCTCTTTTCTTGAACATCCCGCACACTCGGCCTTCTTTCTTAAAAAGCCAGGCAGGCTTCCTTCTGCTCCAGGCATTTGTCTTAGTGACTCACTAGACGTTGCTGACATTTTGCTATATCTGACCTACAGAAACAGCCATTTTAAGCTGTTAGGCTGGTGCAAAAGTAATTGCGGGTTTTGCCATTAAATATAATTGCAAAAACCACAATGACTTTTCCATCAACCTAATAATATATGCCTCTTCCTGCACTGCTGCCCCTCCACCTCGTGGCCTGGCGGCCTCCAGTCCCCTGCAGCTCTCAGCTCCACCTCCCCTCGGCGCCTCCTTCGCACCCGTCGCTCATACCCCATTCCGGGCCTGCTGTGAGTTTCCTGGCACCCTGTACTTCCTCTCACGGGCCTTTGTGGTTTGTGATGATATAGCATGACTCTGGAACCCACGCACGTCCCTCTCTTCTGCTGGGATGGAAGCTCCACATCATCAGGACTGTGTCCTCCGACGAGCACTTGGTAAACAGGCGACCCAGAGCTGAGCAGGCGTTCGATAACTGACGGCTTTTCCTTCCGTGCATGGAAGGCCCCGGAACTGTGCCGTGGCCGCAGTTCCACATCCACACGTCCAGCCCCTCACATCAGCTTCCTCAGTCGCCCCTCACAGCTCATCTTTCTACCACATTCTCATTCTGAGTGGCTCAGAAATGTGGGATCCTGGGACCATGAACTCCACTACTGCTTGTTACCATCGTCTCACTGGGTGAAGGGAAGGAAAGAGACAGAGACGGAATGACTGACGTGAGCAAAAACGGAGGACCAGCCAATGGCAATGCCAGGGCCTGCACTCAAGATTCTGGGTGCCCCACTCTCTGCTCAAGCCCCCAAGCTCCTGCAATACAATTATAAAAATGGCATACAGCTCACTACGTCAAAAACACCTCATCATATGGTCACTATTGCCAGTCACAAATGAGAAGCAGAAAAAAGATGACTCAAGGCCAACGTACATCTGACCCCTAAATATTAGAAATACAGCCAATGTCCTACCATTTAAATTTTGCAGGCCAGGCATAGTGGCTCACACCTGTAATCCCAACACTTTGGGAGACTGTGGTGGGAGGATCACTTGAGGCCAGGAGTTTGAGGCCAACCTGGGCAACATAGCAAGACCCCATCTCTACAAAAAATAAATTAGCCGGGCATCGTGGTTTGGGCCTGTAGTCCCAGCTACTCCGAAGTCTGTGGCAGGAGAATCGCTTGGGCCCAGGAGATTGAGGCTACAATGAGCCATGATCACACCACCACACTCCAGCCTGGGCGACAGAGCAAGACCTCGTCTCAATAAACAAACAAATTTTGCTTGACATCATAAACCCTTAGGTTTATAATTATTTTTTTAATAATTTAAAGCTGTGTTCTTTCTTACTGATTAAAACATTTAAAAACTTGAAATTCCTAGCAACAATATGACATTAACAACTATATACATATATGATTATACACACATACACACGCACACAGAAAAAATAATCCACGGCAGTCAAAACTAAAAATGAAAAAATCAAAGCTGAGAAGTCAACCTGCAGAGAATGAGCCACGGCTTACTTTTAAGAAACCAATATAGGGTAAAAGGAGCTAATATTTTAAAACTAAAAAAAAAAAAAACTTTCACAGTGATACTAAGATCAAGCTATAGTTTCTTTTCCTCTTTTTAAAAAGATTTATTTCTGTCTGACCAAGTGAAATTGAAGTAATTGCCAATTAGAACCCCATGCAATTATTTTGCCAATCAAGTTATATTTCTATTTAACAAGGGTGACAGATACTTTTAAAAGAAACATTATGAAATATTATTCAATTAAGTAAAGAATTATTTAATAGATAAATATTCTTAATGGGCCTCTCTTGTGGTTTTCAATAAGCTTTGCACTTGATTAACCCCACAAGCCTGTCTGGCACAATCGTAATTTCTACAAATGAGATATAAAGGAGGGATCATAAAGAACGAATTAATCACCGAACGATCTGCACTTCAGTCACACGAGAGCTCATTATTCATATGAGTAAAGCTGTGGAATGAGCTACGACTGCCATAAAACACAGGCACATCTTCAAGGATTCTGCAGGGTGATTGCTCCACCGGCCTCTGGCTGGCGGCACAGCAGACGCAGGCAGGCGGCAGCCTTAGACAAGCTTGATCCTCTACTCTTCAGGTTCCCAAAACCCTCCTGAAGTCCATGCCCAAGAGTTAGATTTTATGATACCATTAAACTCTTAAGGTAACGATAGCTACATCCTGGGTGCTCACCGTCCTACAGTTATCCAGACACACAATGTGTCTCAGCACCAGAGCACACGCAGCCCAGGAAAACCAGTGATGCCTTCTTCTTGTCGGATAGGAGCTTAGTTAAGTGTCTACGGGGCACCTACCAGACCTTGTGAAGGCCTCGGGGGTTCCCAAGATAAGCACCATACGGCCCCCATGTTCCAGGACGTCAGTCCAGCGAGGGACACAGGTGTCATTGGTGCATTGGTAAAGGAGGGGCTGTCTTCTACACACAGAGGGGCAGCAGCAGAGGAGGGTGAACATCCCGGACAGGCAAGAGCACTCCAGGGAAGGGAACAAACACCTCCAGGGGGGCCACTCAGGGCACCTTCCACCATACTGCCCCCAAGTGGCAAGGCTATGGAACATGCACAGCCCAAAACAGAGACATCCTCATGTGGCTCAGATGGGATGACTTGGTCTGGAGCCTAGTGGGGAGACAGCTGCCATGCAGGCAACCCAGGGCTCCAAGTGGCTTCCTTTTCCTTAGATGGACGATAAAAGTGATTCAATCATATCAGCTACAGTGGTAAGAAAAGCCCCGTGAGTCTGCATTCTACAACTACATACTAGTATCTTTTTTCTAACCCTTTCTTAATGGAATTCCTAAAGGCAATACAGTTCATGAATCTAAAATTCCCTTTTCCTATGCTGAAAATTTTTTAAACACAATTTTGATAAGTAGAGCTCTTAAGACACAGCAACTGCTTTGTAACAGAATAATAATAATGGCTAGAATTTATTGAACACTTACTAGGGGCTAATTATGGTTCTAAGCACTCAGATTAACAACCATCTTGTATTTGCCTTGTAACATAAAGCCAGTGCACCTGATAAGACATGTATTAACAAAGCGCTGTGAACAAAAATGAAAATAATTTTACATCTAAACATCCCGCATCAGTAGCTTCCTGGAACACGTTACATACCAAGGGATCTGGATTCGAGGGGGATTTCCAGCTCCCCATGGCCATTTCCAAACTCTTTCTACTCTACTATCTGATGAAGTCATGCTGCAGATTCCTATCACTGGGTTTTACCACCCGGTCTCTCACCAGTTGCTATGACCTACTTCTACAAGACTGGAGAAAATAGATTCAATATGACTTCTCGGTGTCCTGGCTGTGTGGTTTTGGCATGTTGTTGAATTTCTTTCAGCCACAGGTTTCCTGTCTGGAAAATGGGAGTAGCAATACCAACTTCATAGGGTTCGGTTCAGGTGAAAGGAGGCTACACAGCATCACTCCCAACGTGGGGTGACTCTCGGCGCAGTGCCCAGCTCACGGTCAATGCTCAGCTCCTTGCCACCCCCGAGACTGAGGCACGACTTCAGGCAGCTGGACCAGTCTTACTTTCATCTCCACCCCCACAGCGTCCTGCGTGAGCCAGCACCCACCAGACAACCTATCCAATGCCCTTCTCTCAAAATTCCCTACATTCTTCCATTTCCAGTGAATTTAAACTCTACACAATCACCACTTCCATGACCCTGTTATCACTGAGAGGTGCTCCACCTCTGAAATCTTAATCAGTATCGTTCTTCAGGACCACAACCTCCTAACCTTGAAGCCCAGGGCCGCCAGTCCTCAGACGCCTCCATTCCTCCCAATCTCTCATCTCCCTCTGCTCCCACCCTACCTGGAGTCCGTGGTCCCTCATGTTAGCAGCAGAGAAACCCCGTCTACACCTGCCTGCCCCCAGGACACCTGCCCCACCCATCATCACATTTGCCTGGCAAAACCCAAACCCCAACCCCTAAGAAAGCCTCGCCTTCTTCCCTCCTCAATTTAGGCTACATGGAAATGGAAACTCAATCAGAGAGAGTCCCCCACCCACCTGCAGTTGGTCAACGCAAGCACCAGGTGCCTTCTGCGTTTACCCTTCCTCCCTCTGTAAGCGATGCGGTCACCTCCCCCGTCCTCAGCAGCCCTGATTGGCTCCTCTTCTACAGACCCCACTTCAGGAGTCTTTTCTCTCATTTTTTCCCCAACCCTCACCATATGCAGAAACAAACTCATAAGCTTCATGTTACTTAGTCTAATCTTGGCTTAAAAGTTCACGAAACAGAAGTTAAACCCTCAGGAACAGCTGATGAATATCCGCAAAGAAGTGAGAGGCTGTTTCCTCAGGTGTGTTGGAAAGAGCAACTCTGAGCCAGCGGTCATATCATCTTAGAAAGGTAATGTTTGTTAAATATTCACATACTAGTTGCCAGATTTTTTTTTTAAGTTAAGGCCGTTCGTATCATATTCTCACCATCGTAAAGCTGAGTTTATGTCTAAATCTGTTGAATAGGGCAAAGCAACTTCCTGCACTTTTTAAGAAGGTCTCACTCTGTTGCCCAGGCTGGAGTGTGTGGCATGACCCTGGCTCCTGCAGCCTTGAGCTCCCGGGCTCAATGGATTCTACCACCTCCACCTACCCAGTAGCTGAGACTACAGGTACTCACCACCACACCTGGCTCCTGCACTATTAAAAGGTTTAATAGTCCTAAAGACTGTAGACTTATAATTTTAGAATTTAACGAGTGTATTTGATGAAATATTTTTTACAGAAAACTGCTCACCTGGAGTTGTAGTTTTGTCATAGGAGGTCGATTTTACCCATCAACTCTAGGAATACTTAACTCATTTCTATATTATGATCTAACTCATTCAACCTGAACAAAAGGTATGTGCAGATTTTATCAAATTTACTAACTGTAAACATTTTTCTTCCTTATAAAATGACGGGTGCACATGACCATCACAGTTCATTTCTATCTATAGTATCTGCCAGGCTCACTGAATAAACAAAAAATGATAACTCACCTCTATTAACAGGAAAAGGACCATTACAATTCTCCCACAGATGAGCAAACAGAAAATAGGATCTCATTTGCTTGAGGAACAGCCAGAATTGGTATTCAGATCTTTTTGAGTCAAAAACCCTTCCTTCTGCTCATAAGCCTTTCAGATCCAGCTACGCTGGCATTGCCTAAGGAGTTTAAAAACAAAAAGCAAAAATTGGATGCCTTCCCTGGGGCTCCTATTCTGATTCTCTTAATTTGGGATGGGTCTTGCCCAGGGTTGAGAACCACAGCATCATACCTGTCACATTGTAATGGATCATTCTGTCCTGTCAATGTAGGTTTAAAACAAAATGTTCTCGGCCTGGCACGGTGGCTCACGCCTGTAATCCCAGCACTTTGGTAGGCCAAGGCGGGCAGATCACCCGAGGTGGGGAGTTTGAGACCAGCCTGACCAACATGGAGAAACTTCATCTCTACTAAAAATACAAAATTAGCCGGGCATGGTGGTGCACGCCTGTAATCCCAGCTACTTAGGAGGCTGAGGCAGGAGAATCGCTTGAACCCGGGAGGCAGAGGTTGTGGTGAGCCAAGATTGCGCCATTGCACTCCAGCCTGGGGGACAAGAGCAAAACTCCATCTTAAAAAAAAAATTTAAAAAAAAAATATATATATATATATTCTCCCACAGTTCTTTAAGTTGACAAACAGAAGTACAATCTCAAAGCTAATCTTGTACCAAAGAAGGCACAGGGAAGCTTTGGGTATCCTGTGGTGGAAGGACAGCTCATACAGCTCTAGCTTAGCCAGGCTGCCACAGCACTGACATACAGAGTGGTGTTATTCCCAGGGTTTGGAGAAGGCGCAACAAAGCACCTGCCAACGCACAGATGCAGAGCAGAGGTGGGAATGACGGTGCCCACTGTGAGATGTGCAAAGCATGCTGAATCGGGCGGGGCAGGGTGGAGATGGGAGTATCAGGTAGGTCCCTGAATAGCACAGAACTAAGAGGAAAATGGCGTTAGAAGGAACGGCTCTCGCTGCCACGTTCAGGGTGCAAAGGTGTGACTGAAGGCAGGCAGACCAACCGGGAACTTGATGCAATAAAATGGCTGGAAGATCATGAGAAGCCAACGGTACAGCAATCCCGAGAAGCAGCAAATCCCCCAAGGGAATGCAGAGAAACACTACGGATGAGGGGAGAACCAGGTGGTACCAGACTCTTGACTGGGGAGACTGAGGGCCTAGCACAGTGACAGTATCAGAGATTCGGTCAACTGAGGTTGGTAAACTCAGATTTCACCATACTGAGTTCAATATTAAACTTATTTCTAAACTCAAATAATAACATAACTTTTTTTTTCTTGTTTTTGTTTTATTTAAGACATGGAGTCTCACTCTGTCACCCAGGCTGCAATACAGTGGCTCAATCCTAGCTTACTGCAGCCTTGACCTCCTGGACTCAAGTGATCCTCCTGCCTCAGCCTTCTGAGGAGCTGGGACTTCAGGCGCACACCACTGCACCTGGCTACGTTTCTTTATGAAGGCAAATTTTCTGAGAACAAAACATATTTCATTCACCTCCTTTGAGAGTGAAACTAAGGAAAAAATTTTAAAACAGAACAAAAAAAAAACATACTTCACAACTTAGAAGAAATACCATAAATAACAATTTTTAAAGTAACATAATTATAAGAATAATATGAAGAGTGAAATCAACCTAAATCTATTAATTGAGCAAATTACCTTTCAAGCTAGCAGTCCATTCAGCAAACATCAGAGTAGTTACTGAAAGCTTACAGTCATGAATCCTGAACTTCTAGGAAGGAACATCAGAAATCATTAGGCACTCCTTCCCACTATACCCCAGATTCAAAAACCATCTCTGACGGGTTATCCAGACCCACGATACCCCCAGCGATGGAGTGGTCACTGCGGGGCAGGCAGCCCACACCATTCGCGAAAAGACATTTCCTCCCACAAGCTGAGTATTAATCAAATTCTCCAATGATGTAAAACAATGTCAATATTCTTTAAAGGAGGCACAGCGACAGGGAGAAAACCAACAGACCACCACACTACAGCAGAAAGATATTTACAAATATTCTAACAGCTTTTATTACAATGGTGCAAGGAAGTATTTCATCCAACACTCACCGACAACAAACCATCATCTTCTATAAAACAGCTCCAGAAAGTTCAAACAAAAAAAACTAAAAGATACATGTATCTGTAGTAATTCTCATACATTACTGTTTAGTGTTCAAACTTCATGTCACTCCAATAAAGTATAATCATTTTCTAGCAAACATGTGGCAAAAAAGTTTGCTGTTTTATTTGTTTGCCTATAAACATATCAGAACATGCCTCACAATTAAAAACTTTGGATTACAGCACTCCATAACATCAATATCTATTCGTGCTTAGTATCAGCCAGTTGTACCAAATACCATAAAATACAAAATGATAGGAAATATAAACATCGATTTGTATTTCAAGTTTAAACATTTTATTTACAAAAATAGGCTGGGAGGAAAAGGGTTTGCGCCCCCACATTCTCTCCTGGGACCTAACGATTTTGCGCCATTTTCTAATGTTGTTTTCTCTAACAATTTTCAAAGTCACATTTGGATTCCTTCAGAATTGTATTTGTCAGCTAGCAGCTCGGAGGAGGAGGAGGAGGGAGAGCGAGGGTGAGGAGGGCGGGAGAAGGAGGAGGCTGGCAGACAGCGGTCGGCACACGGATAAATGGCTTTTACTGAAGGGCCCGCGCCGCGCCTCATGCACCGGCAATGCAAGCACGCTGCTGGGCAGCAACACCGACGTCGCTATTTACAGAACGGCGGCCTTCTCTGGGTTCTGAAGGACACTTGTTCCCCAACGTGACACCATCGAACGACGCGTTCAGGCAGACACTAGGACATGACTCCAAAGACGGGGTTGTGGCGGCAGATGCTGGGCCCGTACTCTTCATAGTCCTTCTTGGTGTGGCAGACCTGAAAGAACTCGGGCTACGAGAGGCAACAGGCAGACAGAAAGACACTCATTTCAGAAGAAAGTCAAGGGAACCAGCTACCAAGCAGGCAAGACACTCTCCTCATCCCGGCCTCCACCCTCCCTCCCAGGACCGCTGCTGCAAGATTTTACCTCTCTGATGTACTAAACTACTAAATGGGGAGTTATTTCACTTTTTAGAAATTTCATCAGCCTGTATCTTCTTAGGACCAACCAAATGCCGGTCCCCCACTAACAATGTGTGAGCTATTCACAAATGTGAGGGGGAAAAGTAATAATTATTTGGAAAAGTCACTGGAATTAATGATTAATGCAGGACTTTTTTAGATTATTTTTGGATGCCACTTACCATGTTTTCTGTAACCCCTAATTAGCAAGGACACGTGATAAATGTGTTGTGTGATTATTAAGATATAGTTTATATCGGGCCGGGCACAGAGGCTCACACCTGTAATTGCAGCACTTTGCGAGGCCAAGGCAGGGGGGTGGATCACCTGAGGTCAGGAGTTTGAGACCAGCCTGGCCAACACAGCAAAACCCCATCTTTACTAAAAATACAACAAAAAAAAATGAGCCGGGCATGGTGGTGAACGCCTGTAGTCCCAGCTACTCAGGAGGCTGAGGCTGGAGAATTGCTTAAACCCGGGAGGCGGAGGTTGCAGTGAGCTGAGATCGCACCATTAAACTCCAGCCTGGGCGACAGAGTGAGACTCCATCTCGAAAAAACAAAAAAGATATAATTTATATCTTACAGAATGGTCTGTTTAGAGCCACACGATTAGGGCACACACTATTTCACCTTCGTAGACAGTATTTACCCAAACTCAACCGAGAGCACAGGAATGGAGACACAGAGCCCTCGAGAGAGGGACTTACAGTCGAGGCCAGCATGGAGCCTCCGAACCACACGGCGTAGCGCTGCATGTGATGCGTGACCACCTGGACCTCCACAGGCTTCGGCTGGAAGAGAAAGCAGCTCTCACTTACCCCACACCCACAGACACATGTGATCTAATCATCCCCCGGCTGACGAGACCACAGCTGCACCCAGGGCCGCCCTCCTCTTATGGCACGAGCACCACCTCACACCCAGCACTCAGTGACTCTCCGCCCCTGCTGCCAAATCCCCCTAAGACCTACCAGAATCCCAGCCCCCAGCGCTCAAAGGAACACAGTGCACCCGGCAAGCAGCACCTCCCTCTCACAAGGCTCAAAGCGCTAAAGTTCAAAAGCACAAAATCCAAGCAATTAACCCCACTGCTTTTTTTTTTTTAACCTAACATATCAGATGTTCTGGCACTGTAGAGATCATCCCAAATAAGATTAACCATCCTCAAAATAATAAAAGAAACTGTGCTTTTCTGGCCGGGCGTGGTAGCTCGCACCTGTAATCCCAGCACTTTGGGAGGCCGAGGCGCATGGATCACAAGGTCAGGAGATCGAGACCATCCTGGCTAACACGGTGAAACCCCATCTCTACTAAAAATACAAAAAATTAGCCGGGCTTGGTGGCGGGCACCTGTAGTCCCAGCTACTCAATAGGCTGAGGCAGGAGAATGGTGTGAACCCAGGAGGCAGAGCTTGCTATGAGCCGAGATCTCACCACTGCACTCCAGCCTGGGCGACAGAGAGAGACTCTGTCTCAAGAAAAAAGAAAAAAAAGAAAAGAAACTGTGCTCTTCCAACAGTGGACTCGTGGGATCTCTTCCTTGCGCCCACTGCCCCTATCGAAGCCCACTCTTGGTTAGAAGCCCACAGTGATCACCAGCTACTTAAGAATTACTATCTTGGAGGAACGCCTTGTAACTCCCTGCTAACATTAGTTATTTTCATTTAATGAGAACATTTCCGAAGGACATGAAAGATCCTCACCATAAATTAGTCCCATCTCCTTGGGACACTGGTCATTATACCCCATGCCTGATCTCTTACGACACAAAAGGAAACTGCTGGCAGGCATGGCCAGGGAGAGTGTGAAGCTGCCGTTGCTGTGTCACCAGGACCATCAGTCTGAACTACCAGCCTGGAAGGACCTCAGGCAGCAAACCTCCATGGTCATGTCACAATGCAGCTCAGAAAGCGATGAACACTTGTTTTTATTTTACGCGGCCCAGACAAGCTCCTTCGGCTCTGTGTCAGGAGGGCCCCGGTCAGGCCTGGGGCAATAGCCCCAGGCACTGCGTGGAGGCCTCTGGCTCCTACCTTGATCCTCCCGCCGCTGAGCTCCTCGCTGAGCCTCAGCCTAGCATCCACCACTCTCTTCAAATCCCTCTGCAGTCGGCGTCCGAAATCCCTGAACATGGTGGAGCCTCCTGAGAGTACGACATTCTACAAGACACAAAGCAGAGGGAGCCCTGGGTAAAACCGCCCGCCCACAGTTCCGGGAACCACCCACAACAGAACTCCCACAGGTCCAATCGCTTGTGGGCACGACACATCGGCCCTATGAAAGATGCGAACAAAAGCAAACTTAATGCTATTGGAAAAGTGTAGATTTTTTTTTTATGGAGACAACAATGTGCCACAGATGGCTCCTTAATCCTTTCCTCAATTACAGCAAAGCAAAAACAAGGCGATCCTGCTCCCTCATGCTCCCCCTGCCAACCCCTCACATAGACCAGGAAGCCAAAACAAACAACAGAAACTGTCCAGCTGACTTGAGCCAAAATAACACCAGCTCTCCCCTGGTCCGCCTTAACCATCACTGGGGGAAAGTCTTCTAATGGGTGCTTGAAGCTTCTCAGAAGGACAATCTTGGGAAGAAAGCATCCAAGTTACCGGAAGGAACATTCTCAGATGAGCCACCCAGCCAGCACTGCCCTCCAGGGCCAAGACTCGCTCGGTGGCCACCCCAGAAGCTCGGTGGGGGGCTGAGGAAGGGGAAGCACTCGCCTGTCCCGCTCCGCCTGCCCAGAACCCGAACCAGCCCTCTGTCCAGCATCTCCGCGTTGTCAACCCTGCCCACCTGTCAGTCATCCATACCGTCAGCTCCTGACCTGCAGCCACTGACATCCTCATGGTTTGACGGCCCAGGTCACCCGAGCAGCTGGTCCTCTTCTGATGTATGTCAGAGGCCACAGTGGCCTCACCTACGTCACTCACCTCTCGCCCTCTCACCATGGGGCACTGCATCATCTCACACCCTCACAAGATGAGGAAGGGTGAGTATGGTACAGAAAGGTATTTTTAGACAGACAGAGAGAGACCACATTTATATAACTTTTCCTACAGTATATTGTTACAATAATTATTCTACTTTAGTAGTTACTGCTGTTCAGAAGTCTCTTACTGTGCCTAATTTCTAAATTAAACTTTATCATAGGTATGTATGTACAAGAAAAAACACAGTATATATAGGATTCGGTACTATTTGCAGTTTCAGGCACCCACTGGAGGTCTTGAATCATATCCTCACTGACAAGGGGGACTAGTGTATCTCCTGATTGAACTTTCTTAGAGAAAACACCTTATGTGAAAACTACATAAGGAAATTAATCCTTCAAGGAGTCAAAAAGCCCTATTTCCTTTAAGACCCTCTAAATATGTTAGCTCTTCCCGAGTTCCTGAGCAACTACAGAGCTCTCTGCTTTCAGGCACTCCTCCCAGTCAGCTCTGAGTGTGTGAACAGTGAGTCCCTCAACAAGTTTACAGGTAAGCAGAAGTCACAGGGAATCAGCACGGAAAAAAAAATGCACTTTTCTGTCCCTAGCAACCCAGGTTCTAAGTTATATGATATGAGAGTAGTCTGTTCCTGCTTACTGCTGTTCTGGGGAAAGACAGCCAGGACTGACTACAAAGGGATCATTTTTCTCTCATGCCAGCTCCTAGAACTGCTGTGACAGCACCCACGTGGACTCAGGATTAGAGATGGTGAAGTCAGAGCAGGAAGAATGAAACGGGGCAGAAGCCACAGGAAGCCACCAGTGATCCGGCCTTCCATTTGGGGAAGCCACAGTGATCTGGCCTTCTACCTGGAGAAGTGACCAGTGATCTGGCCTTCTACCTGGAGAAGCCACCAGTGATCTGGCCTCCTACCTGGAGAAGCCACCAGTGATCTGAACTTCTACCTGGAGAAGCCACCAGTGATCTGGCCTTCCACCTGGAGAAGCTGGCCTTCCACCTGGAGAAGTGACCAGTGATCTGGCCTTCTACCTGGAGAAGCCACCAGTGATCTGAACTTCTACCTGGAGAAGCCACCAGTGATCTGAACTTCTATCTGGAGAAGCCACCAGTGATCTGAACTTCTACCTGGAGAAGCCACCAGTGATCTGGTCTTCCACCTGGAGAAGCTGGCCTTCCACCTGGAGAAGTGACCAGAGATCTGGCCTTCTACCTGGAGAAGTGACCAGTGATCTGACCTTCTACCTGGAGAAGCCACCAGTGATCTGACCTTCTACCTGGAGAAGCTGGCCTTCCACCTGGAGAAGCGACCAGTGATCTGGCCTTCCACCTGAAGAAGCTGGCCTTCCACCTGGAGAAGTGACCAGTGATCTGGCCTTCCACCTGGGAGTGCCACCAGTGACCTGGTCTTCCACCTGGAGAAGCCACCAGGGATCTGGCCTTTCACCTGGAGAAGCCACCAGTGACCTCGTCTTCCACCTGGGATCTGCTCCAATTCTACCGAGTGTCTGTATAGAGAAATTTCACCTCTGATTACCTGCCAGCAGCAGATGTTAGATAAATCATGTAACATGCTGTAGCTGCTCCAGTTGCTAAGGTGAAAGACTGTCAGGGGCTAAAGAAGCCATGTCCAACCCTTTCACTGCAACAAGTGTTTTGCTTATCCACAGTGGTGAATACCAAAAACATTATGCACAGGACCTTTTTATTAGCTTGTCAACTGTCATTAGTGCTAGTGTATTTTATGTGTGGCCCAAGAGTTTCTGGCCCAGGGACACCAAAAGGTTGGACACCCCTGGGCTAAACCTTCTACAGTGGCTTGGCCAGGGACAGAGCCTCACAAAACTGTGCCACAATATTTTGTTATCAGCTTCAAGGTCAAGGCTAATATATTGTTAAGGGAGGATCTGGGCTTGGCCTTCAGGGCTGGGAACCAGGGCGGTTCTGAGGCCACCCTTCAGGGCTCTCTGCAGCAGTGAAGCGATCCTCCGGAACCCCCACCCCACCCCGTTCCTTGGTGTCGGCCCCACACTTCTACTCACAGGGAACAGCCCTGAGCATAGCAGACCCCCTAAAGGGTACCCATGCCTTACGGGGACTATCTGATCATGAACACACTGAATAAAATACCTGGCAATGGTCTTCTGCCCTGAGAACTCTGCAGTCTGTCCTCATCTGGGGGTTTCACTGCTATGTACTTGTTTGCTTTCTCAAAACTCTGTCGGCGTGGCCAACCAAGGAAACCGCTGTCACGTCCATTTCTCGAGAGGCAGCCCCCTGACGCCCCTCGCCACAGGGAGACCATGAGGTCACTGGGCACCTGCCTTCTTGACCCATTTTAAGTCTAGTTTTCAAGCCAACATCCTGCCCCAGGATCAGCATCATGAATAATCACTGTTGTCCTCTGTGACCCTGTGGAGAAATCTCTCATGACCAACCTGAGAGCGCCTGGCTCCTGTCAGAGTC
This sequence comes from Homo sapiens, assembly GCF_000001405.40. Classification (NCBI taxonomy): domain Eukaryota; kingdom Metazoa; phylum Chordata; class Mammalia; order Primates; family Hominidae; genus Homo; species Homo sapiens. The sequence goes on along the minus strand of NC_000007.14, from coordinate 152,848,867 downwards.
TAGGGACCATCAACCACAGCTGCAGCTACGGGGGGGTGGCAGCTGGAAATCACGTAAACAGGGTTATATTCTGATCCCTGGCTTCCTTCAGATGGGTCTTGTGGCCTGGTGACTCTTTCAGACACACTGCATACCTAGTTACCATAATATCAAGAATCATAACTTAAAAGCATGTTGGTATTTTGATCATCTCATCTTAGAATAAGCCTCAACTGACCCCTGGTCCTGCTCTCTCATGATTGGCCACGCTGGCCGATGATATTCTGGAGAGACAGACCCTGGCTTATATCCAATTAAGAATTAAGTGAGGACTGGGGAAGAACAAGGATGGGTCAGTGCTTGGAATTAGACATTTCTAAGGGCGCTTTTGCTGAGGTTTTGGGGTTTGTTTTTTTGTTCTTTTGCTATTGTTTTTCATTTGCTTTTTTAAAGCCCACCACAGACAACTCCTTTAAAACTTTTCCAGGCTAAGATTCCTCCAGCCTCGCTCTCTGGCAGGGAATGCTGCAGCCTTGGTCTCCTAACAGCCCATATGTCAGGGGATCCCAAACAGTGCCCCAAGGAAGCCTGGGGTGTCTGAGAGCTGTCCCTTGGCCCACCGCAGTGTAGGAGAGGGGCCACAGGGCCAGGTTCCCTGACTGTCACCCCAGACTTGGTGAGCTCATCCTTCCCAAGACGACTGTCGAAGACGCGGGTCTGCTTCTTACTGTAACACCCAATGGCCAACACAGCACCGTGGGCACACCTGCTGCCTCATCTCCACGTTCTGAGCTATTGTTATTCTGAAGGATAATCTGAGAGGTACATAGTCCATTCACACCTCTAAGTCTCCTAAATTCTATCACTGGATCCAAAAGTCCCAGGGGAGTGCTCCCTGTCTGCTCAGCATTCCTTCAGTATTCACTCACAAGACTGTTCACCCTCTGAACTTGCACCGCGAGCCATTAGAAGACACGGCGGGAAGAAACGCGCATCATTATCCACTGTAGGGATGGGTGAAGGAGGTATTCCTAGTGAGGGTCTAAAGAAGAAATTTCTCTCAGGTCTCAGTGTCAGAAAAAGCTGGGCCTCTTCGGAAAACCCACTGGCCTTAATCATATGTCCCAGGGGCCCTGTGTCTGCTGAGCAGCTCAGAGCCACGAGGGGCCTCTCCCACAGCTAGGTGCGACCACAGAACTGTGTGCACGGGCTCTGTCCTCATCTGACCCTGCTGCGCTCTTCTGCCGCCCTGACTTCTCCTCACCCAGATTCCTTCAGCTACTTCATCCGTGTATATTGGATATACTTTCCTGCCTGTTTCAAATTTTCCACACTAAAAGGCAAGCAGGCAGGAGGGGGCAGGGGTGTGGGTTTCTAAGGACAGACAAATAGGAGAGCTGAAGCCCAGCTGCCTGATCTTCAGGCAAAATACAGTTAATTGTTCAACGAGTTTATGAAAGGATGCTGGGTTCTCATTTTGAATTCCTTTCTTCCTTCAGTAATTGAAGGACAAACTTCAACAGCCTAAACATCCCTGTGATGGGCAGCAAACATCCCACTGCATTCAGCAGGCAGTTGCTGTGTTAAAGACACTGAGCTACAGACGCGAAGAAAACATCACGGTGAGCCCTGCGGAGCGGACTGCAGCCCCGGGCACTAGAGCTCACTGCAGACTACAGCCCGGACACTGGGGCTCACTACAGACTACAGCCCGGGCACTAGAGCTCACTACAGACTGCAGCCCCGGGCACTAGAGCTCACTACAGACTACAGCCCGGACACTGGGGCTCACTGCAGACTACAGCCCGGACACTGGGGCTCACTGCAGACTACAGCCCGGGCACTAGAGCTCACTGCAGACTACAGCCCGGGCACTAGAGCTCACTGCAGACTGCAGCCCGGACACTGGGGCTCACTGCAGACTACAGCCCAGGCACTAGAGCTCACTACAGACTACAGCCCGGGCACTAGAGCTCACTGCAGACTACAGCCCGGGCGCTGGGGCTCACTACAGACTGCAGCCCAGGCACTAGAGCTCACTGCAGACTACAGCCCAGACACTGGGGCTCACTGCAGACTACAGCCCAGGCACTAGAGCTCACTACAGACTACAGCCCCGGGCACTAGAGCTCACTGCAGACTACAGCCCCGGGCGCTAGAACTCACTGCAGACTACAGCCCGGGTGCTGGGGCTCACTGCAGACTACAGCCCGGGCACTAGAGCTCACTACAGACTGCAGCCCGGGCGCTGGGGCTCACTACAGACTGCAGCCCGGGCGCTGGGGCTCACTGCAGACTACAGCCCAGGCACTAGAGCTCACTACAGACTGCAGCCCGGGCGCTGGGGCTCACTACACACTACAGCCCGGCACTAGAGCTCACTACAGACTACAGCCCGGGCACTAGGGCTCACTACAGACTACAGCCCGGGCACTAGAGCTCACTACACACTACAGCCCGGACACTAGAGCTCACTGCAGACTACAGCCCCGGGCACTAGGGCTCACTACAGACTACAGCCCGGGCACTAGAGCTCACTGCAGACTACAGCCCGGGCACTAGAGCTCACTGCAGACTGCAGCCCAGGCACTAGAGCTCACTACAGACTGCAGCCCGGGCGCTGGGGCTCACTACAGACTACAGCCCGGGCACTAGAGCTCACTGCAGACTACAGCCCCGGGCGCTGGGGCTCACTACAGACTACAGCCCGGGCACTAGAGCTCACTGCAGACTACAGCCCGGGCACTAGAGCTCACTGCAGACTGCAGCCCAGGCGCTGGGGCTCACTGGGATGCTTGAAGATGTCTCAACCTCCCCAACCTAGAGATTCCTAAAAGTTCAGAAATGTAAACAGGGAACTTTAAAACACATACTTTGTCATTCTGAGGATCTGCATCTTTATAACAATCATTTGAATGTTTTAAATGCATTCATTTCAGATTTTTCTTCTAAAAAGCAATTCTATTTGTTTCCTACACTAAAAATAAATAAATAAAACAAAAATCATTTCATGGCTGAATCTTTATTTTCACTTAAGAAAATGCTCAGGAAGACAGCTGCAGGTGGAAGCTACGACTATGCTGAGCTCTCAGCGGGGGCTAAGGCAGGCAGGGCCCTGGCCGATGGCAGATCATCCCTCAGGTGTCCCTGTACTCCACTTTTCCTGAGCGCCGGGAGAGCTGCACACACCACCCCACGAGCAGGCCCCTAAAACAGAGCCAAGTCACTTCAGGAGTGGCATCCATCTCAAGAGATTCTGTGAAGGGAGGTCACAACCCAGCAACAGGCGGAGGCCAAACAGCCCTCATTCGCGCTGCTCCTTTGCGATTCAGAATCCCTGCTTCCTCACCGTGAAACGTCATGGGAGCTCCAAGTGTCCAGCTCAGCACGGAATAGAGCTCCTTGCGGTCAGCACTCTGCATGGGCACCATCAGCGTGGCCACAGACAGTGAACTTTAAAAACTAGGCAACAAATAAAACCTGAAGACAACACTGCATGAATACTGGCAAGATTCGGGATGGCCTGTGCCATCAAGGTGCTTCTGGAGAAGTTAGAAAACTCAGAAAGGAACATCATGAGCTCAGAAAGTACTCAGCAAATGAGAAGAATGTGGAACAGGAGAGACAGAAAAAGGGCAAAAAATGAAAACACTAACTGAGGGGTGCTCTGAGTCCAGGTTATAACGTATATTATATTACCCAGCATATACTGTATATAAATGTATATTAAAACTTCAAAGCAAAGACAAGTTGAAGAAAACAAAAGTCCCTAAACCGAGTCGATTAAGACACTCACAGTTGCAGGTGGTGGATAAGACAGCAACGGACCCCACTTGGCCATGGCAAGTGGACAAGATGGTCTCACCAACCAGGTCGACCACTGTATGAGAGCTCACCGGTTGTACTAATTTCCTCTAAATCCTCTCAGATTTACTTCTGGCCTAGAAGTAGATAATCTGTATCTGGTAGCATTACAGGCTTTTTCTGTTGACTTTGTTGTGGTAGAAAATAGATCAAATACAAAAGAGGACTTAACAAATACAATCAGACTCACATTAAATCCTTGGAGTGATACCCAAACTGAACAGTAACTCCACCTCCTTAAGACATACATGGGCTCTTGTGCATAAGGCTCTGTAATAATTTTTACCACTGTAATCAAACTAGGTCACCAAAAAGATAGTGAGAGATAAAATTTATCCTCAGAAAACTTCAAAAAGGCCAGTTTACCCAGCCAAACTGAGAGCTGGATTTCAGACAATAAGAAAGAATTTGTAACAGACGACATCATCATAAAACTTTGTTTCTTGAAATGGTAAATGACCATTACATCTAGAATGGCCATTTAGTTTTCAGATAAATTTCTATTTCAAATAAACGTAAGCCTAACAACCTAGATTTTTTTAAATCACTATTATGGCTATTTTAATACATTTAAATTCCACTTTTATGTAAAAGGCAAATATTAAGCCAACAAATTAATGTAATAGATTTTTTTAAAAAAACATTTTATTTAAAAAAAAGTTTTTTAGGTCTGGCGTGACGGCTCATGCCTGTAATCTCAGCACTTTGGGAGGCCGAGGCAGGCGGATCACCTGAGGTCAGGAGTTAGAGACCAGCCTGGCCAACATGGTGAAACCCCATCTCTACTAAAAATACACAAATTAGCTGGGCATGGTGGCATGCACCTGTAATCCCAGCTACTCAGGAGGCTGAGGCAGGAGAATCGCTTGAACCTGGGAGGCGGAGGTTGCAGTGAGCCGAGATGGCACCATTACACTCCAACCTGGGCAACTCCATCTCAAAAACATAAAAATAAATAATTTTTTAATTTAGAAAGAATTTCAAGCTCAGCAAAAGTGATACACTCTTTATTCAGATTTACCTACTGTTAACATTTCTGGTAGAGTGTTTTTATTTATCGTTTGCATGCATTTATTCTGTCCCCTCCCACATGCACACACATCTAGGAGCGGGGAGCATCTGAGAGTAACTTATATACATCATGGCCCTTTACTACTAAATAGTGTGTATTTACTAAAACTGAGAACATTCTTTTACGTTACCACAGTACAACTGCCAACTTCATAAACTTAACATTAATACAAAACTTTAATCTGCTGTTCCTATTCCCATTTTGCTACTTGATTTATTAATATTCTTTAAGGTATTTTTTTCTCTCCAGTCCAGAGTCCAGTGCAGGGTAAGACTGTGCAATTACTTGTCATGTCTCTGTAATAGGTTTTTTAACTAAAAAATTATTCAGTAGGGTATGAAAATAAATGTTTATTATAATACTTGAGAAGTATTACATGATCTTGAGTTTCCTTCAAAGGCATTATATAAATTCATTTCTTTTATTCACATAACCATACAAACAGTGCTATGCATATGTGGTCAAATGATTTTAGACAAAGTCATCAAGATACTTCAATAGGGAAATAACAGTCTTCTTCAACAAATGATGTGGGAATAATTGATATCCATGGAGTGAGAGGATGAACATTTATTTACTTTCTCATTTCATATACACAAATTAACTCAAAATTTATCACTGAGTTAAATGTAAGGGCTAAAAGTACAAAATTTCTTTGAAAAACCATTTTTTAAAAACTTCGTAATTTTGTGGTAGGCAAAAATTTCTTAGCTAGCACATAAAAAAGCATGAACCATAAAAGAAAAAAGTTGATAAATGGGCTTCCATACATTTCTGTTCTTCAAAAACCACCAAGAATATGAAAAGACAAGCCACAGACTAGCAAAAAAATCTGCAACACATAAATCTGACAAAGAATTTGTATCCAGGATATCTGAAGAACTCTTACTATTGAGTTGTCACTTAATAAACAAATCAGTTAAAATTGGGCAAAAGATTCAAACGGACATTTCACAAAAGAAAATATACAAATGACCACTAAGTACAGGAAAAGACAGTCAACAACATTTGTCATCAGGATCATACAGCTTAAATCCACCACACACCAAGTTTGGGTTAAGACGAACAACTGCAACTCTTGTACACTGTTGGTGGGAGGGTAGATGCTGTAAGTACTTTGGAAAAACTTACCATACAACAAAGCAACTGCACTCCTGGGTACTTCCCAAGGAGAATAAAACATATCCAGCAGACACTCAGTACATTTCCAATGTTCATAGCAGGGTTTTTTGTAATAGCTAAGACTGGAAACAACTCAAATGTCCACCAGCAGGGGACGGCTGACTTGTGGCACAGCCGCTCGCTGAGGCTCTCCCAGCAGAAAGAAGGGTCAAATGACATGCACACCTCAAAAGCACCGAGTGAAGGAAGCCGGAAACAGAGAACACGCGGAGCACTCCATTTCCAGCAGCCCCCCATTATCTGCGGCTCCCGCTCCACGGTGTCAGTTACCCATGGTCAGCCACAGTCTGAAAAGATTAAATGGAAAATTCCAGAAATAAACACTTTGTAGGTTTTAAACTGCGCACCATTCTGAGAAGCATGATGAAATCTCGAGCTGTCCCACTCTGTCCCGCTTAGGGCACGAGTCTCTTCTCTTTGTCCAGCATGTCCACACCGTATATGCCACCTGCCCTGAGTCACTCAGTATAACACACTGTTATAACTGATCCATATTATTATTAGTTATTGCTGCTAGTCTCTTACTGTGCCTAATTTATAAACTTTATCAAAAGTATGTATGTACAGGAAAAAAAGATCGTATACAGAGGGTGTGGTACCATCTACAGTTTCAACCATCCACTGGGGGTCTTGGGACGCATGCCCCATGGATAAGAAGGGACTCCTGTATATGAAACTTCGGGAAGTCAAATCCCATCTACAGTGATAGGAAGCAGATGGGTGCCTTCCTGGAGCAGGGGCTGAGGAACTTCTGCCAGCGATGGTTCCCTTCTGTACCTTAACTGTGGTGATTATCACGTTAAGTATGTAAACTTGTCACATCTTTTCAAACCGTACATTTAAAATGGTTCATTTGACTCTACATAAATTATATCTCAAAGTTGAACCTTTTAAACAGAGCAACATAATACCAAGTGATGGCAAGGGGCCACTCTGAGTTGAGAGGGCAGGAATGGCCTTGCTGAAAAGGTGGCATCGGGGACTTAAATGAGAAGAAAGATGCCCTAAAGAGGGTGTACATTTGGCCAATGTGTACAGTCTCTAACTCTTCATTTCTCAATGTTCTGTAACTGTGTGAGGACATAAGATTGAGCCAAGTCGCCCAATTTTATTTTAACATTTTTAACATTGAATCCCCCATAGTTGCTATGGACAACAGGAAAACAATATGCACTATACTTCCAGGCCTTTCCTAAAAGCAAACTCCAGCTCCCACCCTAGTTCCACGCCTTGCTTTGTGTTCAGAAATTCTCATGTGAACCAGTAAACTCAACAAACCCTTTACTATTTAAGAAGGAACAACCCTTGATCTCTACTCACTCCTCCCCAAAGTAACGGTCCACCCTGTTCCTTCCGCCCTCTGAATACACTCCTGTTGTCCCCACCCTCCAGCCCAACTCCTCCCCACTGGCAAATGTCCTCTTTCACACAGACACACTTTACAGAGGACTCTGGGAGAAAGCGAGAGCTTCTGTGCCCCAGGCCAAATAACAGGTTTAAAACTCGTGTTTTGCTCCTGCCTGAGCTTCGGAACACGACAACTACCAGCAGATACATCCCCACGTCCACTGTCTACACGGATGTGGCACACACAGCGGGTTCCGGATCTGTAAGAACGCAGAGTTGGTGAGGTCTCTTGCACACGCGCCACCAGGCAGGCTGCCGTCCTACATGTCTCCCGCCAGCTCTGCCCAGATACTGTTTCTACATTAATGCTGCAAAGTGCTCTCATTTTCATCATGTTGAGCTTCAGCCTAGAATTACTGAACTGAACTTTATCTCTATCCACAGAAGAACTACAGCCTGCGGTTAGAAAGGTCCCTGTGTGGGCACGTCCTGGGGGAGGCCGGCCAGAGCAGAGCTGTCCCGGACGGCGCCTCCCAAGGACAAGGTCGAGGGAGCTGGCTCGTACTTCAGCAGCCCCTGAACCGCCCGGCCCTAAGCCGTCCTGCACCACCCATGGGGCCGACTCCCGGCTGCAACTCTTTCCCCTCACCCCGCCGCCGACAGCAGAAGTTTCAGGGGACAAGGGGGACCTGCCAGAGCGAGAGTGGAGGGTGGAATACAGTCTAAAAGGAACATACAAGTGTTAAGTGACAGGCTCTATGGAACTGCCGGAGCAGAGCCCAGCAGAAGACAAGCGTTTAAGAAGACAAAGCAGTAGAAACCCCGTTTTCCTGACAGGGCGTTCGGAGCCCTTCACAATCTGACCCCAGCCTACTCCCTGGAGCCAGGTGGGGATGCCCAAAGGCCTCACACTCCCCCCGCTGTCTGGTGCTGGGGCCTGAAAGAAGCAGCAAACCCCCCACCCGTGGGCTCCCACGCCCTCATCTGTGAAGACATCACCAGGCCGCTCGCAGGTCTGAGGGGAAATTAGAGGGTAATGACGTCAGCACCGGCCCAGGGAAGGCAGGACGGCGACAAGCACAGTGGGTTCTCTTGTTTGGCCCTCTCCGCCCTGGGCCATGCAGAGGCTGGAGCAGGGCCAGGTCTACACCCGGTCCGTCCACTCCTCCCTGAAGCCGCCACTACACACAGCGCTCGGTAAGCAGGGGCCCTCCCCAGGCATCGTGGAATGAACGAGGAGCATTTCACTTGCTCTACCCTCTGGAATAAAAGGGGGTCAGTAAGGGAAAAAAGACTCCAGCAAGTAACTCAAGAACCAGAAACAATAACTGACAATTTCTGATTAAGTCCTTGGACTCTGGTAACCTCCTAATGTTTCTCCCTAGTGCGCGGGTTCTCAATCAGGGACAATTGTGCCTCCAGGGGACATTAAGCAACATCTGGAGATGATTTTGATTGTCAGGACTGGGTGGGGGTGGGAAGGTGCTACTGGCACTTTGTGGGTAGAGGCCAGAGATGCTGCTAAACATCCTACAATGGAAATGTCAACAGCACCAAGGCTAAGAAACCCTGCCCTAGTTAGCGCTGAGCAGTAAAACCAAAGGTGCCTGTACACCAGCAAAGAGGGCCACTGGGGAAGTGGTGTGCCACTCTGCAGCTAACCCGAGATGTGCAGGAGTCCCAAAAGGCAGCGGCTGCTCAGGGCAAAAAAGCAAAGGAAACCAGGCAAAATCCCTGGGAACTTTAAAAATAGAAAAGTCAATCGGCTAGAGGCCGCAGCGGGTGAGGAATCTGCTGCCCTGGCCTGGATGTGGAGCGCGATTCCAGAATATCACTTGAAGTCATTTCATGGAATACAATCACAGTGCTTACGCGCTGCCTGACACAGCTGAAGGCAATTCCACACACCAACTCCTTTCACCTTGCCAAAAATGGGATAAAGCAGGTACTATTCCCATCCCCATTCTGCCGAGAAGGACGCTGAGGCACAGTGAGATCAAGTAACCTGCCAAAGTCACACAACTGAACAAGCAGTAGGCAGGGCAGAACACACACCTGGCAGTCTAGAAGCTCTCGGTCACGTGGCATCCACACCTGCAGACCTCATGCTCACCACCATGCAGGATCCACGCACTCAACACACATGGGCGCCACCCCCCGCCCCGCAGCCCATGTGCTCAGCACAGCGCTCTAACCACCAGTCCACACTGCCTCCCTTCCTGTGACACAGAATTCGGACCCCACCTTGTATAGACCAATTTGTAAAGTAGCTCTCCCTGTGCTGAGCTGAAATCTGGTACCCACCTGGCCCTGGTTTCTCTCTTTCCTTGGCACTGCTCACCGTCTAGCTGCCCATCACATGTCCCAAGACAGCCTCATGCTCCCTGCCAGGTCGCAAGTCAAACAATGCTACTTCCCTCAACCATTTCTCACCGGTCATCTTTTCAGGAACTCTTGCTGTTCTGGGGATGCTCCTCTGGATATACTTCAAAACCCAACAACAACCCTCTTATAATGTGGACTCCCCTCCACAGCAGCACACAACACCCATCAACACAGCATGTCTCCCCAGGACAAACAGAAAGACTCTGAAGCAGTGAAGTGGAACCCTGGCCTTGAGGGCCAATCAACGTCAAATGACTTGCCATCTCCTAATAGAGCAAAAAGTGGTCAGTGGCTGTAAAAACCTCTACATCTGACACAGTGGGAAATGGAGGAAGCATTACTACTTTTTAAATTATTATTATACTTTAAGTTCTGGGGTACATGTGCAGAACGTGCAGGTTTGTTACACAGGTATACACGTGCCACGGTGGTTTGCTGCACCCACCAACCCGTCATCTACATTAGGTATCTCTCCTAATGCTCTCCCTCCCCTAACAGGCCCACCAACAGGCCCGGATGTGTGGTGTTCTCCTCCCTGTGTCCATGTCTTCTCATTGTTCAACTCCCACTTACGAGTGAGAACATGCAGTGTTTGGTTTTCTGTTCCTGTGATAGTTTGCTGAGAATGATGGTTTCCAGCTTCATCCACGTCCCTGCAAAGGACATGAACTCATCCTTTTTTATGGCTTCATAGTATTCCATGGTGTATATGTGCCACATTTTGTTTATCCAGTCTATCAGTGATAGGCATTTGGGTTGGTTCCAAGTCTTTGCTATTATGAACAGTGCTGCAATAAACATACGTGTGCATGTGTCTTTATAGCAGAATGATTTATAGTCCTTTGGGTATATACCCAGTAATGGGATTGCTGGGTCAAATGGTATTTCTGGTTCTAGATCCTTAGTCCCTTTGGAGGAAAAGAAATGAACCCATTCTTACCACCAACCACCATGTTGCACATGACAAACAGAAAATCAAAAATTAAGTGTTACAGTAACTGAAACCAAGGAAAACCTTTCTCGTCTTAACACTCAACTACAAAAGCATACCTCCCCCCTCGCCCAGATGAAATGGAAACACTTTAATGGAAGGGTTATTTCCATTCTAAAAGTTACTTTATACAAGGAAAAGGAAAAAGCCCTAGACCCAACTTCGCAGGCTTCACAGCCCCTCACACTGTCAGCATCCCTTTCCTGGTGCTTGAAAACATAAGAAATAAATTAGAGAGCAAACCACAACAAAGTCGGTTTGAAGCCTCTCAGCCATGCCTACGACAAACCATTTCTCAGTGTGACAGGTACCGTTATTACCAACACACAATCCAATTTTCTCTGAGAAAATGACATGGTTGAGAGTCTGCCTCTCATTCCTAAAATGTATTCAGCAGGAGTCTTGATGGAAGATTAAACACAAGGAGATGTCCCCCGAGCAGCTGAGGGGCGGGATCAGGAGAGAACAGACTGTCCCCACTCATTTTCTTAGTACCCCTTCTCTAACTTTAGCTAGCTTGCTTGCATCAAAGTAAAATTGGTTTTCTAACTAGTCTTTTATGAGGATTAAAACGTTGTCTGAGCTTATTATTTTTCAACTCAAGTGACTATCCAGAATTACTCTGATGGCTTAAATGTGGCTTACAGGCGTCATTTGCTTTGGTTTCTTATCACCTATGCTTGTTTCACCTTCAGAGTGAGGAAAAAGCAGAAAAAAAGAGAAATATGTGAAATTACCAATAAATGTATTCTTTCCAACTCATCTCAAAGTAAAGCAACAGTGCTTACTCTAATAATTCTGTACCTCAGAAATATACACATTTAGCCTAATAGTGTCTTTTTTTTGTTTTTTTGGTTTGTTTGTTTTTTTTTGAGACAAGGTCTCACTCTGTCACCCAGGCGGGACTGCAGTGGTACAATCCTAACTCCCTGTAGCCTCCACCTCCCAGGCTCAAGCAATCCTGCTGCCTCAGTCTCCCAAGTAGCTGAGACTACAGGTGCATGCCACCATATCCAGCTAATTTTTTTAATTTTTCTTTTGTAGAGATGGGGTCTTGCTATGTCAACCAGGCTGGTTTCCAGCTCCTGGTCTTAAGCAATCCTCCTTCCTCAGCCCCCTAAAGTGCTGGGATTACACACATGAGCCATGAAGGCCGGCCTGCATTCTTAATCAATTTCCACAAGGAAGAGTAAGTAAACATTTTTCTAAGAAATAAAGAAAAGATGTCATAAATAATAACATTTTAACATTTTAAAATAAAATCCCTTTACTTACAGAAAAGAAGCAGATTATCCCACACAGCAGTCTGAAAGAAAGCTCTCATCAGCGAATCTAGCACAGACAAAACATTTTAAAATGCCCTATTCATCTAATACTGTTTTCAAAGTAATGACAGAAATAGCATACATCACTGCTTTATTTCACTGCTTATAGAGCACAGACCAACCTTTTTTTTTTTTTGAAATAGGGTGTCCCTTTGTCGCTAAGGCTGGAGCGCAGTGGTGCAATCACAGCTCACTGCAGCCTCGACCTTCTGGGCTCAAGGGATCCTCCCACCTCAGCCTCCCAAGTAGCTGGGACCACAGGTGCGTTCCACCACAGCTGGCTAATTTTTTTGATAGATGGGGTCTCCCTGTGTTGCCCAGGCTGGTCTCAAACTCCTGGGCTCAAGCAATTCTGCCTTGGCCTCCCGAAGTGATGGGATTACAGAGGCGTGAGCCCCTGCACCCAGCTTAACATGACTTCCTAAAATCAGATTCTGAACTCAAGGTTTGTTTACTTTCGCAGTTTAACAAATATTTACTGAGCCTATCTTTTGAAATACTTCTTTCAGTAAGATTATAGAGTTGGTCTTCAAATCTAAAGTCAAACCCCCCAGACAGCAGACAAAGGCCCCTCAGGTCTCACCCCAACCTGTACCCCCGCCCTCCGGCCTCCACATCTCTGTGGTCTTGCAGACTCTGAGCATCTCTGAGGGATGTCTCTAGTGCCTGGAAAGCCCTCACTCACCACCTCACCAGCCTGGCAACCCCTCCTTCCCTGACTCCTCTGTGAGAGCGCAAAGCCCCCAGGCCCCATAGCCTGCCGTGCCTCTCGTTCACCAGGTCAGCAGCATTTACTGAGCACCTCGCATGGGCCAGGAGTGTTCTAAGCACCACGGGTCAGCAATGAATCTGACATATCAAAATGGTCGCCCTCTTGAGATGTGTTTCGGGTAGGGAGACAGAACTATTAAGTATAAATAACTAAAGTATGTAGCAAATTAGGAGATGAATGTTATGGAGAAAAAAATAAAGCAAGGCTGGGCAAAATGACGTGGGAAAAAGCGCCGAGGTGCAGTCTAGAGCAGGGTGGTCAGGACGCCTCACTAGAAGACGGCATTTATTCCACTTCACCCATAATGTGTTTGTTACCAACTGAAGGTTTGAGGAAACGGCACCAAGCAGGTCTGTCAGCGCCATTTTCCCAAAAGCACACGCTCACTTCGTGTCTCTGTATCAGCATATTTTAGCAATAACATATTTTTAAATGAAGGTATGTACACTGGTTTTTTAGACATAATGCTATTATACACTTAAACCATAATACAGTGCAAACATAGCCTTCATGTGCACCAGGAAACCAAAAAGTGTGTGTGGCTCACTTCATTGCACCATTCACTTCACTGGGATGGTCCGAAACTGAACCCACAAAATCTCCAAGTTATGCCTGTAGTAATATCTATCACATATCAAGCACTACACTTCAGCCTGTGTAAGGGTGACCTAATAATTCCATGAGACGCTTACGCCTGGCCCATCCTGCACCTGAGGACGCAGGGGCTGGGGAATGAGTGCAGTCACGATGCTAGGAAGCGGCTCAGCCCACGTGGAGACCCACGCGGCTTGGCCCTGACGCCTATACTCTTAACCACGACAAACTAAAAATAATACTGCTCAAAACGCTTCCCACAAAAGCCAAAATCCAATATGATCGATTCTAAAAAAAAAAACACTTAATTCAGAAAACAAAGTGATCCCTTATCACTTTTGATACAGTGTGAGAAATCAGCAGATCTCCTGGATGACGTTCTGGCGGTCAGCAGTCTTCTGGACACTTTCTGGACACCAGCCCACAGTCATTCCCTCCCACAGCCCACTCAGAACTGCAACTGGAAATCCAAACGCATTCAAAAACTGGCTAAGCCAGGTCAGCATTTTAGCCAGAAAGTATCTGCTTCACTCGCCAGCAGATTCTCAAATCACAATCATTTGACTCAAAAAGCACCATTAGTTACAGACTCCAGTGTATGCCAGATTATGCCAGAAAAGCATACATGTCCTGGTAATGCAATAAATCTTGACCTAAGCTAGAAGAGTGTCAAAAACCTAAATACAGAAAAAAGAGTTGGTATCGAAACAGACACAGCATGGAGCATCAGGCCTCATTACAAATCATGTTTTTAAAGAATTTCAATCGCTTAAGAAAGGGCTCACAACATAATGCTGTTAATACATAGCATATGAAACATAAATACAACAGGACATATCTATCTACCTATTTACAGTTCATGAAAATAAAAGGGAAAGATGAAGTAATAACATAAACAGCGACAACCGGGCGCGGTGGCTCACACTTGTAATCCCAGCACTTCGGGAGGCCGAGGCAGGCAGATCACCTGAGGTCAGGAGTTCGAGACCAGCCTGGCCAACATGGCGAAACCCCGTCTCTACTAAAAATACAAAAATCAGCCAGGCGTGGTGGCGGGCACCTGTAATCCCAGCTACTTGGGAGGCTGAGGCTGAAGAATTGTTTGAACCCAGGAGGCAGAGGCTGCAGTCACTGGAGATTACACCACTGCACTCCAGGCTGGGCGACAAGAGCGAAAACTCTGTCTCAAAAAAAAAAAAAACAAAAACAGCGACTACAAAGGAGTAAATTCTCCTTTGTAAAAGTGTTTTTTTACAATTTAGAAAATCTCAAATTTTCTAAATTGAACATGAATTTTAGATTGGAAATCATGCACTCTGCTCATCTGTAGAGTCTAAGTTCTCTTCGGTGAACCTCTGACCACCCTCCTCCCTTCAACCCCGTCTCACGGCACACCTTGCTTCCCACCCGGGGTCAGCCACCGTCTATTTATTCAGTTCACTATATCGACTGAATTCCTCAATAGCCCGCAACCTTACCTTGCCGGATAAATGTATATTTTATGATGCCAAATAAAAATCTCCATTTTAAACCACCTCTGCAGATGGAAAGGCCCTGTCTTTATGCTGGTAAAGAATGTCACAGCACATACCATTATAAACGCCACACGTAACCCATTCATCTCCTGAAATTTATGTCAGAAAGATTGGAAATAAAATCTATATTAACAGCAAGTGCTTAATATCAAATGCGGTATTAAAAATAACAAAAATTTTCATTCCTGTAATACTAAGAGGCGCTCTTCTTAACTCCATTTAACAGACACACAGTGCCACCTATCAGCCATCCTCTGTAACTGCAGGTGCAAGGTAAAGAACCGCTCACAGACACGCCTTCCCCTCTCCCTGCTATTTACATGCCAAAGACCACCACAGGTTAAGAGGACAGCCCTATTAGAAGCCCCTGCTCTTTCTATATTGTGTTCTTGAAAAGTTTTACTTCCTTAGGAACTGGAGCTTTTTACTGCTGAACTGAACCCAGGGACTGCAATCCCAGCGAAGTCTGAACAAATCTGTGTCTAAAATACGGGCTGTTATGATACCCAACGGTGTCCTAGGAGAAATCCAAGCCAATCTCCAGGTCCAGCCCTCAACGGCCGCCTGATGGGAAGGGACATAACAATTAATGGCAAATTTCTTACAAGGATTACCCACACGTCTTCTTTCCTCTAACCACCCCCTCTTCGGCCTGCAACTGCTGTGATTTGGCCTCTGCCCAGCTTCTCTCACAAGGCTGCTCACCCCTGTGTGGTGAACCCAAGGGCTACCTCTTGACCCTCATCCTGTGTGACCTCTCAGTGCCACTTAACAGGGCCCCCTGGCTTCTAGAGTTTTCTTTCTCTTCTCAGGCGACTCCTTCTTGACTTCCGTGACAGTTAATTTTGTGTGTCAACTTGGCCAGGGCACAGCACCCAGTGATTTAACCAGACACTAACCAAGGTGTTGCTGTGAGGGTGTTTTGTGGATGTGGTCAACATTAAGGAAAGATGACCCTCTATAATGTGGTTGGGCCTCATCCAGTCAGCTGAAGGTCTCAAGAACAAAAACTGAGATTTCCTCAAGAAGGAATGCATTTCCCCGAGAAGGAATTCTGCCTGAGTTTCCAGCCTGCCAGGCTTCCTACAAATTTTGGACTTGCCAGCCTGAAAGCAAGCCAATTCCTTACAGTTTATAGATAATGTAGAGATAGAGATAGTGGCCAGGTGTGGTGGCTCACATCTGTAATTCCAGCACTTTGGGAGGCTCGAGCCCAGGAGTTCAAGACCAGCTTGGTCAACACAGCAAGACCCCATCTCTTAAAAGAAAAAGAGATCGTGAGATACCCGCTATTGGTTCTGTTTCTAAAGAGCCCTGACTAACAATCTCTCTGCCCTTCTTTCTCTGCTCATCCTTAAAAGCCTGACCTTTCTGCTGGTTCAGGCTAAGGCCGTCTTGTCCTCACCTGCTACTCTCCCTTGGTGACATCCATTTGCAGACCTTTTATTTCTGTGAGCACACCTTTGGTCCTCAAATCTCTATGTCTGGCCCAGACCTGCAAAGCCTCCAACCTACAACTGCAACTCAACATCTCCACCAAACTAGACCTAGTCTTCCGCTGCCTCAGAAGGGTGCCCCGCTCCTGTATCTCCTGTCAGTAAATGACCCCCCACCCTCCTAGATAAGCAGCAAGAACCCTGAACCTTTTCCTCCCACTTGTCAAGCTCTCACCTATGCTCTGGAGCCTCTCTCCTCTCCCGGCTTCCTCCATGAGCCACCTACAGCCATTTCCCAATACGGGCACTGTCCTGCCTCCGCGTGGTTCTACAATGGCCTTCCTAAATCCAGACTCCATCTCCAATCCACATCCCCTGGTGCAGCCCAAGCACTTTTCTAGAACTTAAGTTGGGTCACATTACACTCCTGCAGAAAATCATCAACACCCTCAGGATAAAATCTAACTCCATGCGAGGCCCCTCCAGGTGGATATGCCTGTCTTTCCTCGGAGCCCCAGTTGATAATGTTGGCCCCTGTGCCTTCCCCATAAGCCCTGTGTAATCTGGCCCCAAGCGCATCCCAGGCTTCACACTCCCCATTCCCATGTTCAAACATGAGGTCCAGGGAGGCTAAATTCCCTCCAGACCCACAGGATTGCGCTACTTCTCCTTCACCCTAGTGCTGCACACAGATCCTGCTGCTGGAAAACCCTTCCCCTCCCATGCTGCATTCCCTGCACTGACCAGGTCACACCAGCCTTCACTCCGACCTGAGTTGATCTGAGTCGTCCTGTAGGACGGCCATCAGCCACATATGGCAATTTTAACTCACAATAGTTAAAGTTTAAAACGCTGTTCCTCAGCTGCACCAGTCACATTTCAGGGGCTCAGTGGCCACCCTGGGCAGCACAGAGACAGACACTGCCATCACCACCGAGCACCACTGGAGAGCACGGACCCAGATCCTCACACTCCTGTCCACACGGAGGCCCACCCTGGGCTCTTGCGGCTCTCCCAGCACAGCCCTGACATGCCCTGGCTGCTCAGCGCCCGCAGTGGGACCTGGCGCTCTGCAGGTGCTCACTGACATTACTCGATGTTGCCACAGTGGCAGAGCTCCGCCATCCACATCTCCACCAGCCTCCCACGGCAACAGGTGTCTTAATGTTCTTGTGAGCTGGGCAAGTCAATGTCCAATTTCCAGTTGTTAACATCAGCCTTCCCTTCCCAGTAAGACAAAATCATGCCATTTGGGGATTTATCAACAGGAAGCATCAAATAGAAGTTATGAGGAATATTAGTGTGGAACTGGGGCTAAAAGAGCAGAGCTCTGGAACCTTCTCTGCCCACTAGCCTGACCAAACCAGAGCAGCTACCTTTTTATCTGTTCAAATATTACACTTCAACCAGGACTTCATCTGAATAAAAGACCTATTTGAAAAGATGAAAAAACCAATGATATGTATTTTTTTCTGATTTTCTCTCTCCAAATATTAAGGTATTTAAACATACTCTTAAACATTAAAAATTAAAAATAGAGCCGGCGCAGTGGTTCACGCCTATAATCCCAGTGCTTTGGGGCTGAGGCAGGATGATCACTTGAGGCCAGGCGTTTAAGACCAGCCTGAGCAACAGAGCAAGACCTCAACTCTACAAAAAAAAATTTTTAATTAGCTGCAAGTGGTCGCCCACACCTGTAGTTCCAGCTACTTGAGGGGCTGAGGTGGGAGGACTGCTTGAGCCCAGGAGGTCGAGGCTGCAGTGAGCTGTGATCACACCACCGCACTTCAGCGTGGGCGACAGAGCAAGGCTCTGTCTCTCAATAGTAAGTATTTATTTATTTTATATCTATAACTCATTTACCCTGCAACAGGCTTCTCTAGTTTAAAATGCATTAACATAATTATATATATTCAATTCAAGCAATTTGTTACAGAAAAATCAATCCCTTTGCTATAGCAGGATGTATTTACATCTGCTTCACAAACTTCATGAAGAGTTTTTAACAACTCCCAACCCACTGCTGGACCCAGACTGCTGGAGCAGGCTAAAGATATTTTATTGCTGGCCCCACCCTCCCTCCTAGGTTTGTTTCCCACTACCTTCCCCACCACCGTAGGCTCTGGTCAAAACAGGCACCGCAGGCATCTGCCCACTCTCCTTCTATCTGCGCTCATTATCTTCCCTCCACCTGGCCTGTCCACCCACCCCCAGCTCTGCAGGCCAAGCTCTCAGACTCAGCTCAGATGGCAGCTTCTCAAAGACTTTCTTGATCCCCTCTAATTAAATGCAATCTGTCCCTTCTCTCAATTACCATAATTTGCATGATTCACTTTAATGACATTTAGCTTGTAGTGGTTCCCATTAGAGTTATTTCCGTATTTTTAGCTTTTTTATAAGCTCTTGAAGGCAAGAACCGAATCATCTCGTACATACTTAAATCCCCTAATTTAACAACAGTGTCTTGTACCTAGTAGGTACTCAAGTACCTCCTGAATAGAACTGAGAAGTAGAAAGACATCCATTACATTACAAAGCAATTCAAACTGGCTTCCCCCTCAAGTAAAGCGTGCAAGTTACTAAACGCTGGCTGATCCAAGAGTGGGCTGGCGCTGATGGCGGTCCTCAAGTTAGAAGCACATTAGAGTCACCTGGGAAGCTTTTACCATCCAGGTGTCCAGGCTCCACCCAGCCCAAGCCCAATTACATCAGAATCTCCCAGGGTGGGACCCAGACTCCGGTCCATTTTACAGCTCCTGGATGAAGCCCACGGTGGGCCCAGGCTGATTTTCACCTGCTCTCACACGGAGGCTTCCCCGCAGGCCCCACCCCTGTCATTTCTGGAGGCGGAACACATAAAGCAGATGTGTAAATACCCTTCTCATCTACACGTCAGACGGAAATAAAAATCGGACAGATGATGGCTACTTTCATCTAAAAAAACTGTTTTGCTTGTTTAAAGATTCTGAATTTTTAGTCAAACTCACAGAAGCAGAGAGTGGAATGGTAGTTACCAGGGGCTGCGGAGTGGGGAGATGTTAGTCAAAGGGAACAAACTTGTAGTCAGAAGATGGGCAAGCTCTGAAGGCCTAATTCCAGCATGGTGAGTACAGTTAGGAAGAGGGTACGGTGTAGTGGAAATCTGCTGAGAGGAATCTTACATATTCTCACTGTACACACTGAAAAAGGTAGCTGTGTGAGGTGATGGATGTCTTCATTAGCTTGATTGTGGTAAGCATTCCACGATGTACATACCTGTATCAAATCATCACACTGTGCACCTTAAATATGCACAATTTTCCTGCTCTTGATGTGTGTGTGTGTGTGTATATATATATATACACACACACACAATTTTTACTTGTCAATATACCTCAAAAATATACCTATTAAGTACTCATAAAAATTAAAAATTATATTTCAATAAAGCTAGGAGAAAAAACCCCCACTGGCCCAGACGAGCACCTCAAGGCGCAGGTGTGGCAGAGGGAGAGAGACGACCTCTTCTGAAGCCAAAAGCACATCTTCAGGGCACCCACTCTGTTGGTCTATGTGGCTAGCACAGCTGACCAAATGAGGCTGTGGAACCAGTGAAAGCACACAGGTAGCCGAGGTCAGGAATCGGCACCATCACTCCTGGAGAGTGAGCGTCTTACCCGGCAAGAGTGGCCCAGCAGGTTGGAAGCACTGCATAGTGAACCAAGAGGAAAGGCACACCCCTAAGACACAGGAATGAGCGGCCGTCCAGAGAAAGGTGACTGCGTGCTCTGCAGAAGTATTTGCAGCATGTCTTCTAACCAGAACAGTGTTTTAGAATTATTTTTAAAAACCCACAGACCTACTGATCTGTGCACTTGCTAACACAGACGATTCGGGGCATGCTCTCCACCGCACTAAGGAGCAGGAGTTACAGAAGGGAGCGTAGCAGGGAGTGCACCGAGCAGGAGCGAACCTCGTCAGTGCAGCTTCACTGCTCAGACGCTGCTTCTGGAGGGACCCTACTCCATCCCACACAGCGAGAGTCCATCTGGGAGGGCTGACGGCTTCCAGAAACCAAGTCAGCAGGAGCCCTAGAGTAGTGTGTGACTCTACCCTGGGCTGTGAGCAGAGCTCGGCAGTGACTCTTCCACAGTCTTTCCTAAAGGCAGCACTGACTTGCTGAGGAACTAGCAAAGGCCACGCCTCAACATGCCCCGCCTGAAGAGGGTCCGCAGATAATTATCACAGGCCAACCCGGACAGTATTAGAACGAGGCTTCCATAAGTAACTCCTCACATGTCTACAACAGGCTCTCTCCTGCTTTTGTAAATAAAACTTTATAGGAACCCAGCCACTCCTAGTCGTTCAACACGGTCTTCGGCTGCTCTGGCAGAACTGAATAAATGCAGCACAGACCATACGGCCTGCAGAGCCAAAATGATTCACCATCTGGCCCTTTACAGAAAAAGTTGGCCAACTCCCGGTCTCATATCACCATGGGGAAAAAAAACACTACAGCAGCTGTTACCTGGCAGGCTAACGCACAGAAACGGGCATTCTTAGGCCTCAATATTAAACTTCAACTTAGTCATCAAGACCCATACTTTGGAAAGAAGTCCCTTTCTTCGTGGCTACAGGAGAGGCAGTGGTGCCCACCAAACATTCTATCACCCTCCCGCTTCCAGTGCCCGGTGGAGGCTGGCCCACGTGACGGCCCGGGGAGGAGGGGTGGAATGGCGCACCAGCTGTCTCCTCCCCGGCAGCGGGGACCTGAGGCGATGTGTTCCAGAAGGGCAGCCACAACACGGTGGTGGAGCCTACTGCCGACCACACCAGACGTGAACCACGTGCAAAGAAATAAACCTTTGCTGCTGAACACTGAGATTTTGGATTAATTTTTATCATAACATATTCTGGTCTACTCTAACTTAGGTGGCAAAGGAGGTGACCTCCTTTGTGTCTCTCCTTTCCCACAACGGGGTATAGAGTTCAGCTATGTGACAAACGAGAAAGCATGGCCAGCCCCAGGACATTCAATCCTTCCACCTCTCAATCCTACGTGAATTCTCTATCACTTGCAAGGCACTCATAACACTGGAGAGGTCCTGTTCAAAAAAACCAAGACGGCTGAGGGAAGACAGGATTTATTCTGCACAAACTTGACAGCCAGGGCCAAGCTACACCCTTCTGAAAGCCACAGAGAAGAAATGATTATCCTAGTGACAAAGTGGTCAGGGACAGGGTTTCCCTCTTTGAAGAATAATCTTGCCGGCTATGGTGGCATGTTCCTGTAGCTACTTGGGAGACTGAAGCAGGAGGATCGCTTGAGCCCGAGAGGTCGAGGCTGCAGTGAGCTGTGATCACGCCACTGCACTCCAGCACGGGCAACAAAAAGAAGAATCCTCTTCCCTCCGCATTTTACATAATTTTCAGTGTGATACAGTGGGAAAAGCATGAGTTTTCAAAGATGCGGGAAACGGGCTTAAAAGCCAACCGTGCCACTTGGCAGCCACATGATCTCACCTAGCACATAACCCAGGCGCCTTTCGCCACCTTTTCCCAACTCTGGGGCTCAGTGTCATTATCTACTAAATAAGGGGCTCCATCTACATGGTCTCCAAGACCATCTCTGCTCCAAAACTTCTATAAAGTCCAGGGAGCTAAACTGTCAAACAAGAAAATTCCCACCCCGTGAGGAGCAATCTGTAACTGCTGGCAGTTTCCTCTGCTTTATGATGGGATTAAGATTGAACAGTGTTCCCTGCTGCTGCTTTCACTGATGAGGAGACACAGCTAATGTCAGGTGGGATTGAAGTGGGAAGGACATGACCCGCTAGCTTTCTTCATTTGCATACTCCAGTCTCTTTCTAGTTCCCCTTTCTTTGTACTTTGTATTAGACAAGTGTTTAAGAATATGCAGCAAAAACTGAACTGTAATTTGTTTACACCCTCAAAAGTTATCTAAACAGAAAAAAATTTTAATTATAAAAAAATCTTAACAGTAAAATTTCAAACAACTTTAAAACACAAAATGGAGAAAGTAAAAGTTATCCATCATTCCACCCCAAAGATATTTTATTTACTTTAAGAGTTTAGCATACATAATTCAAAAAATACGCAAACTATATATTTTATATAAAATGAAATATATGTAAATTTTACAAGTTCCTTTTTCACTTAATATATACTATAGCTATCTTTTCATCTGAATTTATATTGATTTACCTCATTCTTTTAAAAAGCTACATAGTATTCCACGGCACAGGTGACGCAATGCTGAGTGCTGTCAGTTGAGCCTGATTCTCTTCTCTGTACAATTCAGCGACCTGAGTCTGAGTAAGGCGAGTGAGTCATGCCACTGAGCTGACGGCGCGACTCACTCAAGCAAAGACTGATTAAAGGTGCAGGAAGGCTAATTGCCCATCACCTCCTGCTCACCATCTCGGGCTGTCAGTAGGATTTCTTTTTACTCAATAATCATATAGACTAGATTTTCCTCATTCCAGGTTTCAAAATTCCCTGAAATCTAAGAATTTTGAAAAAAATCATAATAATACATGAGCATATTCTATCTGACTGTCCCATTTTGGGCTCTAACTTCTATGTGATGACACCACATTGGCACCAAACCCAAATATGCATGAAACGAAACCAATGGAATTCACGGAAAGCATGGGGGAGGGCACCGCTCTTACTTTCCATCGATATTTGTGGCTAAAACTGTCCACCTTAAAATATATCTTGTCAGATAATAATAAAATATATTTACAATACTGAAATACTTCCAGTTGGCCGGGCATGGTGGCTCATGTCTGTAATCCCAGCACTTTGGGAGGCCAAGGCGGGTGGATTGCCTGAGCTCAGGAGTTCGAGACCAGCCTGGGCAACATGGTGAAACACCGTCTCTACTGAAATACAAAAAAAAAAATTCGCTGGGTGTGGTGGCGTGCACCTGTAGTCCCAGCTACTCAGGAGGCTGAGGCAGGAGAATTGCTTGAACCCAGGAGGTGGAGGTTATAGTGAGCTGAGATCGCACCACTGCACTCCAGCCCGGGTGACAGAGCAAGAGTCCGTCTCCAAAATAAAATAAAATAAAATAAAAATTCTAGTTAACTGAGTCATATTTCCATTTTCTCTTACAATTATATTGTCTTTAACAAATCCTATGAAACAGAAGGTGAAACAGGGATATTTACTAGTAATAGACAGTAATACCGTCTTCTAAGAATTATGGGCCTTTAATTGTGGAATGAAATCAAAGTACCTTACCCAGGCAGCTCATACCTTATACAGCGGGCGCCGCACATCGATGGGGCAGTTCTGTATTACTTCATCAACAACATCTGAGATGGACTCCATAAAGTCTGGGTTGGCAAACTGAATTGTGTATCAATATAAAAGAAACATTACACATTTCTCTCAAATAGAACAACATGCACACTTCTTTAAAGTAACTTTAACAAATATACAATTTATTATAACTTAAAAGAATTCACATTGGAATGAAGGATATGTCAAATGAATCCCATGTGACTACAAGTGCGTGGAGCGGTGATGACACATTTCTCCTCATGAGGTAAAATGTATGGATTTAGTGAAGAAAAAATACCAACAACATCACAGACAGACCACCCCCACCCCATGAATACACAGTGATTCAGTCTACTAAGAGCAGTGGAGAGTATGTGCACGATCTATGTGACACGCAGTGAGAAACATGACTTTGACATATCATTTGACAATATTCGTATTATGAGAAAATTAGTATATAAGGAAAAAGAAATAGGTTCAATGAAAGATTAATTAAACCTGGTCTAGAAGATGCAGGGAAGTGTTTTGTTTAATGAGAAGGGTTTGTTTAACATGAAACAATCCACATGATAATCATGTTATTGAATAAACAGCCATAGATTCAATTCCATAAGTTAAATAAGCTAAAGTATAACAAATTCAACTCAATTACATTTCATTTGAAATATTTTAAAAAATCAAAGTAAGCTTGAATGTGCACTCTCAGAGGAAGGAGGAGGATATTCAGTTGCTCACCAGCTGTTCACTGGACATTTGACTGTTCTATGTCCATTTCAAATCAACATATTAAAAGTGAGCATTCACTAGATTATCATTATTATTTTATTATTCAGATTACTAGCGAGGAACACATTCTATGCTGTTTCTCTGTACAAAATAGTCATATACACATCTAAAAACAAACAGCAGTTTGTAACCCACCTACTGAATATAAACTGAATTAGCCAGGAATATATACCAAAATATAAATAAAATGCATTATATGTAAATCTTAAAATGTGCCTCTTAATTACTGCTTTCTGCAAAAGCACTAATAATTCCTTATGACTACTAGTTAAAATGATGACATTTCTAATTCTTAAGATTATCTAAATAATAGAAATGCTGGCCTTAGACAGAAGCTTTACCTAACTTGCAGCAGGGAATAGAGCAGGACCAACTGTCCAGGGTTAAAATTAGAAGTTAGGAAGGGCAATCACCAAAGATAGAAAGGTTACATATTATCCCACTCTTATGCACAGGCAACCTCCATATAGGCCTTGAGAGTAGCTACTTGTAATGCTGGCATGTGACCACCCACAACCCTTGGAGATTACTTTTAATTCTATTGTCATCTATTGCTCCTAAAAGTCTTCCTATTTGTGGTATAACCCATCCTTAACTATTAAAACAGATAACCAGCTCTACGGAGAGGCAAACTGAACAATCTGTCAAGCAGACAAACTGCACAGGGGATGCAGAGAGACCGAATGACGGCCACCCTGCTCACAGGCCCTTCGCTGGGAACTGCTCTTTCTACACTCTGGGTGGCAGTATCGCTCCATCCCACACTTGAGCACACAAAAAAGGAAACATCTCACCTCCGGGTGAAAGAATATTTCAGGTCCCAGGAATCTTTCGTAACCAACGTCTATAACAAACTTCTTCTGGTTGATCGCATTGATACCCGTGTACTGTTTGATCCACTTCCGGGGATCCACATCATACTTGGCAAATTCCTTGACTATATCGGGGCAAATGTAACAGTATTTCTCCTGCATACACACACAAAGATGTTGCCAGGCATTAACAACTGCCCAGTGTCTCTGCCCTCAGACAAATAACCAGGAAGCCCATGAGCAAACACACCCTGGGATCAGAACCGCCCCCACCGTAACTCTAGTGTGGATATGCATCAAGCCTCACATTCCATCGTCTTTCATGTTAGACATGGTTACACTTGGACTTCGGACAGGTAAGTCTGCTTTCTCTGCAACTCAGCTATTAATCTCAGCCTTGGTCTATCCAATTCTATCGCTATCATATCTGAAATGATGTCTACAGGTGTCTAGAAAGCACCTCGTCTTGCCTTGTTCCTCTCAGATGCCTCCTATGGCCTGCTCTGGCACCTCACTGTGGTCCACACTGGACCAGCGGACCCGTGCTGCAAGCTCAACTACCGAGTGCGGCACTGTCTACACCCTAAACCTGACTGCAGCGGCTTCTTTGGGTCCCATTTGGGTCCCAGCACGCCACAAGCCGGGTGGCCACTGTCAACCTGCTGGTTGTTAATCTGGTGTGGAGCTGGCCACAGCACTGTCATCAGCTCCACTGACACCATCTCTTTGCCTAGAGACAGTGTACCTTGTTGACTGGGTATTCTAAGTCCCTCAATCAACACAGATTTATTGTCTAGGCACTTGGGATACACAAGGTAGCGAAACACACAGATCCCTGCCAAGATTACACTCTAGCTGGGAGTCAGAAAACAATAAGCAACCATAATAAGTAAATGACATGGTAGGTTATAAAGTGATAGGTCCCGGGGAAGAAAGGAAAAGCAGAGTCAGGTGGGAGGACTGAAGCCGCCAGGATGCTGCTGCTGCTGCGAGAGAAGTCGCTAACGATTCCCGCCCTGCACCGACAGGCAGCCTGAGGGATGCGAAGTGTTTCCTGGGTATCTGGTAAGATGAATGTTCTTGGACACCTTTGTGTTGATATGTGTCCTTAGAGCTGGCCTCCGCATAGCAGCAGGTGACCCCCAGATACTTGCTGCCTACGGGAAGCACGAGGTGGGCCGCCCAGCTGGCGCTGAGCACACCGTGGAAGGAATGGCTCTCTCAAGGACCTCCAAAGACGCTCTCGTGGTATTAAGTTTAAAGTTTCTTAGCATCCCTGAAACATATTCTAATGCCATCTTCTGGGTATCTTGGATATACTCTAGCGGAATTTTAAGAAGACTGACAGGCAAGAAGTGCTACACAACCCTGTGTTCTTTGATGACACAGAGAAACAGGGTCAGCTGATTACAACCTCAAATCTACCAAGACTGGAGACAAAGGCATTCAGTTCTCCTCACAGGCCTGGTCAACATCCTACAGCATCTCAGCTTACTTAACTCAAATGCTTGCTAGGAAATGTTTCCATTGAGTTGGGTGCAGAGTAACAGGCTTAACCTTAAGGTTCAGGATTCATGCTGCAAGGGTGGTGTGCTCACGTTACACACTCCCTCAGGCCTGTTCACAACCACAGAAGGCCATGGCAGTAAGGGGAAGCGGGGGGAGCTCTAAACCACGCCTTTCAGGATCTGTTCCTTCAAAGAGAGAAGTGAGGTGAGAACTAACAGGGCTACCCCACACAGCAGGGCCAGGGCAGCTGACTCGGAGGCTATGAACAGTCTCTTTTACTCCCAGCCTTCACAGGGGGGAGACACACAGTCACATCGAGCACATCAGCCCAGATTTCAGGGTCCAAATTGGAACCCCAACAGCCCGTGTGGAGAGTTGAAGGCCCAGCATGAGGGTCAGGAAAGCCCCTCCGTGGCAGTGTTGCTCAGCAATCCTGGCGGAAATAGGGAGGACTCAGACTCACTGGAGTGGACCCTGGGCGTCAATAACAAAAGGCTCAATTCTTTTTTTTTTTTTCTTTTTTGAAATAGAGACGAGATCTCGCTATATCACCTGGGCTAGTTTCGAACCCTGGCCTCAAGCAATGCTCCAGCCTCAGCCTCCCAAAGCCCTAGGATTATAGATGTGAGCCACTATGAAGGGGCTCAATTCTGACTTACATTTCTAACAGATTTGGAGTGGCAAGGGAGCTTGGATCAAATAGTCAAATATTCTTCCATGGAGGAAAGGCAAAGAAAGGAGAAGGTGACCCCTTAGGAAATATTTTAGTCTAAAAAAGAATATCTAATGATACCTCAGGAAACCTTCCCCTGAGATGGAAGGGACCACGTCTTCCCCACATCACCATTTCAGCGCTGAGAGCCCCCTTCCCAGGAATCTCTGGTCCCAGGTAAAGCAGGGCAGGTCATACCCAACTGCAGAGCCTGCCTCATGCCAGTGCCTCCTGACCTAAAAACACCTCGGGAATCATCTCTGGTGCTTCCTTTCCTTCAGCCAGCCTCAGTTACGAGGTGCTGAGAAGGGAGGAAGGCAGTGAGGAGAAGTGTGGGTGTTGGGCTCACCCCCATCAAGCTCTGCTACACTCAGAAACTGTGCCATAAAGGAAGAAGATGCTTATGGCCACACGTCACAGCCACACCTGTGTGTGAATTTTGTGCAATAGCTCTGGATCCTAGGGTGGCAGTGTTCTGCTGCTGTGGTCGCCTCCTGATTCTACAGCGAAGCATGGAGGCAGTATGGAAGGAGCCCTCTGGTAGATGAGGCTCCAGCAGTGAGGCTCCAGCTGAACAATGCTGCCTCTGCACGCTGGTACGCTGCACCAGCTACCAAGCTGTTCTCAGTGACAGCTGAAACCTCAAAGCATCTAGTTTGGAAGAGGTTAAGCTTTACATCTTCAGCCCACTTAAGGGGTAAAACAAATCAAGCCCCACATTCATGGGAAGGGGAGAGGAAGGAAAGGAGGAGCAGGGATGATGGCACCAAGGGGAAGTGTCCAGAACACCATCTCTCTCACCCCCAAACCGGCCGGTTTCCCATCTGTTTTTACCTTAATGGCTTTTGCGGTCTCCAGTGACTGCTCAGGAGGGATTCCCACCTCCCTCTCCCTTAGCAGCTGTTGAATGAAATACGTAATATCTCTACCTGCAATCGGGATGTGTTTGATGCAGCTTCCAATTACATAACCTTCTGCCTAGGGAAGAAGAGGAGGCAGAACAGCTGTGTTAGTGATTTCGTGGTGGAGAGCAGCCTGGACTCACAAGGTTTCCTGCCTCAGCCTCCCTGTCTGCCCCTCATGGCACTGACAAGCATTTACATAATCCCCACCCTCTGCAAGCTCAGTACAGAAGGTCTTTCAAAATGACTGCATATGCAATTCCATTAATATTCAAAATTCCAGATTATTCCAATAACCTGACACTCTCTAAAAGCAACCAAAATGATTTCATTAGGAATATGAAAAGAAAAACCACATAAGATAGTTCATTTCCAAAAAGAAATGCTGTCTGTAAGAACACTAAACCCAATAGGTTCTTTCCCTGATAAAAAGGAAAAAGTTTTATTTATAAATTGTTAAGCCAACTATAAATCTACTTACGTTTAAAAGTCAGCAATTTGGTTAATACACAGGGCTTAGATTCTAACAACCTGGACTCAAATCCCAGCTCCACATTTGCAAGTTTCACATGCTTCAGCCTCAGCGCGTTTGTCCATCGTATGAGGCAAACAATACCCTGCTGGGGCCAATGATACAGTTCAGATGAAACTGCGTGTGTCGAGCACACAGCACTGGTTTTGGGGGCTGGGAGCCTCTCATTCCACTGCCTCCCTAAGCCAGTGAAGGCATGTCTGTGAGGGGCCAGGAAAGGAGGGTGACCACGCCCTGGGCCGATCAATGGCAGGGCCAGTGTCAAGTGTCCACATGCCCACAGCAATGATGGGCCCAAAGCTCCCTCATCAGCCTTCCTGTGGGCACAGACCTGCCACAGGAGCCACAGGCTTGGACACACATCCAGCTTGTTCTCCAGGGGATGAGCAGGATGCTGACCGTCAGAGTGGACAACGCCCACCGCTGGATCATCCGGTAAAGACACTCAGGTTTCACGTTACAGCACATCACAGCTTCTGTGCCACAGTCCCCAAGTGAGACAGAAGGGAACAGAAGTGAAACGCTGACTTCATTTTACAGATGTATTCATTCTAATAGCTGCACCTAGTCACCAGTAAAGTTGCAAGAACAACTTACTGAATTCCTCCTATGGTTTCTTTCTGATATACGTAACTTCTAGAAGCAAAAAAAGTAGCCTTTCTGCAGAGTCCAAGTATTTGTAAGGTATTTTAAGATGGAGATAAAAGTATAAATTACTAAAACTCAACTTAAACCCATAAAAATAATATTAGCTTTCTAATACATAAACTATTCACAATTATTATATTCTATGCATTACACGTAACATTTTCTAAAATACTGTTAAATAAATATCAGCTCATGACAGTGGTAAAAATATTAAAACAAGATACATGTCCAACAACAGAAAAATAAATTATGTACTTCTTAAATGTATTTTCACAGAATATTTAACCACAAGAGAAAAAAACTAGGGTTAAATTAATACGCAAAATATAACCTTAGGATTGTATTATATGTAGAATCCCAAACCAGACATGAGACATTCCAATTGTGTTTAAAGTGTGTGTGTGTGCACGCATGCGTGAGCACACGTGTCTTAGAAAAAGAGCTTAGGCCGGGCATAGTGGCTCACGCCTGTAATCCCAGCACCTTGGGAGGCCAAGACAGGCGGATCACCTGAGGTCGGCAGTTTGAGACCAGCCTGACCAATATGGAGAAACCCCATCTCTACTAAAAATACAAATTAGTCAGGCATGGTGGCGCATGCCTGTAATCCCAGCTACTCAGGAGGCCGAGGCAGGAGAATCGCTTGAACCTGGGAGGCAGAGGTTGCAGTGTGCCGAGATCGTGCCATTGCACTCCAGCCTGGACAACAAGAGTGAAACTCCATCTCCAAAAAAAAAAGAAAAAGAGCTTAAAGACTATACAGCTAAAAGTATTAATACAGGTCTTTGGGTGGCTTTAAAGGTAATTTTATTTCTTCAAATTTGTCTATTTTATCCAAATTTTCAATGACTAATGTAATTTTTACAGCTGGAGGAAAAACTGAACTAAGATACGATTAAAAATCTTTTCAAACAACTTTCTTAGTGGGCCTGGACACACTGTGAAATGTATTTTCTTTCCTTTTCCTAAATCAGACATAAGAAATAGGCAAAGAACCAAAGGGGGTGCAGGCCAGGGGCCTACGGGGGCCTCATCTTGGATCTCAGCAGCACAGCTCTCTGAGGAAACGGAAGCCTGAGTTCTCCGTGAGTGCTCTGCACCCAGGGCACTAACTCTTCTCAAGATCCACAGAAAGGAGTGCTGAGACTGGCTTGAAGGGGGCTCAAGTCTAGAGCACACTTCACAGGGCAGGGCAGCCACCTCTCCTCCCCACAGGAAGGACACGTAGCCAGGAGTACAAGGTATGGGGGCGGGAGGCTGGCTTTTTTCTCCCTGACTGTAGGCCCATCGACCATTAAGCCTTTCCTCTGCAGTGATACCTAACCTTCAAGGAATTAAAGGCATTGGTATTAGTACGTCACCCCATCACCTTCTCAAAATGAAATGGTGACCATTTTTTCAATTAAATTAAATGATTTTTGAAAATCCTAATTTGCATTTTAAAAGAGCTGTGTGTATGTAAATATATACACATACACACCCCCCCATATACATATGCAGAAACATTATCTGTAACATAACAGAAGTAACTAGCAATGGTGGTTCCTGAGGAGGAGACCTCAAAGGAGAAAGACCAGGATGAGTATGACTTCCCTCTGAATACCCTCTTCAGACACTTCCGATACATTTTCCAAAAAAAATGAATTTAAGATAATTCCTTTAAATAGTCCATTGGACCAAAAGAAAAATTCAGAGATCTCTTGAAACCCAAATTAGGAATCACTTCTCTGAAACCAAAAAGCGGCATTGCAGAGCCTTCTGCAAGCCAAAATGTACAATCTCCCCTTCTTGGCTTTTAAATTTTTTTTTTTTTTGAGACGGAGTTTCGCTCTTGTTGCCCAGCTGGGGTGCAATGGTGCGATCTCGGCTCACTGCAACCTCCGTCTCCCGGGTTCAAGCGATTCTCCTGCCTCAGCCTCCCAGGTAGCTGGGACAGGCATGCGCCACCACACCTGGCTAATTTTGCATTTGTAGTAGAGACAGGGTTTCTCCATGTTGGTCAGGCAGGTCTCAAATTCCCGACCTCAGGTGATCCGCCCGCCTTGGCCTCCCAAAGTGCTGGGATTACAGGCGTGAGCCACCGCGCCCAGCCCTTAAATAAATTTTTAAAACAAAAAGCAATTTTTCCAAGCTTGAGCTGGTTGCCATTCACATCTTTTCAGAGAACACAGATGTGCTCCTTCAAATGGCCACGCACTGCACCTACAAATTCAACATCCAAAACGGTGTCTATCTCCCAACATGTCGGAATAACCCCAGAAAATGTTCTTGTTGATGTTACACCCACGGGGATCAAGCAGAGGCTCTGAAGATCCAGAGACATCCTGGACATTCTCTGACATTCTGACTGTAAAAATATGCCACCATGAATTGAAAATTGCCAAAGCCACAATAATTGGCCATCCTTTTCATTCTTTCCCACATACTTGGGGAATTCCTTTATATAAGGTGGCAAAAAATAAAAAACTTTTATTATCTTTCTAAGTACAACTATCATCTAAATTGTATTTCCATTACAGAAGAGGTTTTTTTTTTTTTTATTTCCATCCTTACCTCGAATCAGGTGTTAAGCCTACAGAGACTTATATATTAACTATTCTGCTTACCACTGGGATAACATGGGTGACTCCATCTCCGCTGTCAATGACTATCCCCGTTAACGTACGTTCACCCACTTGTCGAGATGTCCAAGATGCCGCCAAGGCCAGCACTGCCTGGAGAAAAGACATGAAAACCGCTCGCACATAGGAACTCTTTCTAAAGCCACCTGCCTGCTCCTTCCAGGTCCAATCAACAAACTCTCTTACTTAATATGTCTGAGTAACTCTTTCCTTTTCCTATCCATCCTCTAACCCCTGTCCCTCAAATTCCAATTCAAACTTGGACAACTAACACGAAAATGTTGAGTACTTACAACTATAGGAGTCAAGTTTTCAATAAAGAAACGTGGCTGACTGTGGTGACTCATGCCTGTAATCCCAAAACTTTGGGAGGCTAAGGTAGGCAGATCACTTGAACCCAAGAGTTCGAGACCAGCCTGGGCAACATGGTGAAACCCCATCTCTACAAATAATACAAAAATTAGCCAGGCGTGGTGACACGCACGTGTACTCCCAGCTACTCGGGAGACTGAGGTGGGAGGATCCCTTCATCCCAGAAGGTCGCAGCTAGAGTGAGCCATAATTGCACCACTGCACTCCAGCCTGGACAACACAGTGAGACCTTGTCTCAAAAATAAAAAAAGGAAAGAAAAAAAAAAAACTAAAGTTTTACAAAGAAAAGCCAGTGAAAAAGATATTTCATTATAGAATCATAAGATTTTAATTTCTAATTCATTGGTTTCCGGCGTGGGGCCACAGATTGGCAATGAGGTCACTTGTGGAGTTGTTTAAAATACAGATTACTAGGCCTCACACCCAGAAATTCTAATCTGGAAGGTACAGGGTAATTTTTCAACCAAAGAAAATGTTGCCCCAAAGGGAACATCTGACAATATCTGGTACCATTTTCTTCGTCGGGGCGGGGAGGCTTGAGGTGGGGCTGCTGTCTTCCAGTGGGCAGAGGCCAGGGATGCTGCTACGCTCCCTGCAATGCACACGGCGGCGCCCACAACAAAGGACTACCCAGCCCAAAGCACTGAGGGTGGAAAACCCTGGTCGAAGACGAAGCCCAAAATCTGTGCTTCTAAAAAACATTCTCCAGGTAAACTTGCTGCACAGACCACTTCGAGAACCACCAGTCTTATGTCTCCTGAAGTGTTTCCCTAGGCCATGGAATATAAGTAACTTAGCCGGGGGAAGATCTGTAGTTAAATAAATTTGGAAGTGCTAGAATACATAGATTTCGACACAGGAATCCTCAGAGCCTGGACTGTGCTGATAGGCGCTGTGAATCAGCCCGAGAAAGCTGCAGGATGCAGCATCGCCCAAATTCATCTTTCTATGGAACTTTTCCTCCTCCTCCTCCTCCTCCTTAGAAGTGACTAGTATTATGCAGAAAACATTTGGGCAACACCCATCTCATTTATTCCCCAAAATTTCAGTCAATTCCCTTACATAAGGTGGCAGGCAAATAATGACCAAATGCAACCAAAAAATATCACACCAAGAACCGCAGCTTCAGAACAAGTTCTGCGAGCTCATGAAAACACAGGGTCCCTCAGAATCAAGTACACTGGGACTCATAAGAGCCCAAAATCGGAAAGGGGAAACCTCTAAAGGTAATTATTTTGTTTTTCTGATCAAAGTCAAAGATGCCAAAAGAAGAAGCACATCTACACCTATATCTTGTCACCCAGATAAAAATGCATTAGACTTTAATGCACGTAAAAAGAGCCAGACGACGTCTATACCAAAAAATGGCATCAAAATAAAAAGAAAAGTCATGGGACACGTTCCCTATAGTCCTGAATGGCATGGGGACGGGGGAGGGAGTGGAAAAAGGAAGGGCACACAGCGCAGTCTTCCAGCGGAGAACCTTGGGAAATACCATTTCTTCCGCTACTAGACAGCTCAGGTGCTTTAGGAATCACAAACGTAACTGGTTTTACCTGAACTGCAATGTAGAGTCCTGGTACGTTAAATGATTCAAACATAATTTCTGCAAGATACTCTCTGTTTTCTGGTGTATTGAGTGGAGGTTCTGTCTGTAAGAAAACATTCACTATATTTAGTGTTTACCCGAATTTCATGTAAATACATCAGAACCATAAACAGGTTAACCTGAAAGTATGTTAGCGAGGACATTATACAATTCCCTAATTTTACAGACAGAGGATGCCCAAAGTGTATTAAAGAAATCTGGCCATGGGCCTTAAAAGCTTTAAGACGTCAGAGTAAATACTTCTCTGAAGGCCTCTGTTCTTATTACCCACCCAAATTAGAACAAGTTACAGAAAAAGAAACTCTTATCTTCAATAACGTAACACCTAAACACCCCGAAACTGAATATCCCAGAAGCAAGTTGCCAAGGGCTATGAAAACACAACCAAGACGAGTGAGGACATCAAAGGCGAACCGGTGACTTCAGGTCTCAGCAAAGGAGAGCCAGAGGAGCAGCAGCAAGCCCTTGCTCAGGACAGGCCGGTGTGAGGAGCCACAGGGTGGCAGAGCAGGCAGGGTTAGGCCAAGCACCCTTACAGTCCAGCGGCAAGGGAAGAGTCCAGGGCAGATCACAGCTTCCCCCAGACGCTGCCCAGGACCTCCCCAGCCTACCCACACGCCATTAGTCCAGAAGAACTCTGCTCATTCAGAGACGAGTAAGGGGCACAAAGAAGCCAGCCAACAGTGATATAAAAACACTCAAAGAGAAAGAAAAGGGACAGAGAAAAGAGGAAAAACAAATGGCAGACAAAAACACATATCCAGGGGCAGGCGTGGTAGCTCACGCCCATCATCCTAGCACTTTAGGAGGCTGAGGAGGGAGGATCACTTGAGTCCAGGAGTTTGAGACCAGCCTGGGCAATATTGGGAGACCCCACCTCTATGAAAAAATTTAAAAGTCAGCCAAGTGTGGTGGCACATGCCTGTGATCCCAGCTACTCGGGGGCTGAGGTAGGACCACTTGAGCCTCGGAGGTGAAGGCTACATGAACCAAGATTGTGCCACTGCACTCCAACCTGGGTGACAGAGCAAGATCCTGTCTCCAAAAGACCGAAAAAAAAAATATCTGGAAAAATATTGAAACAAAGCAGATAAAAATTGCCAAGAATTTCCAAAGACATTTCCAAGAATCCAAGTATCTATTTTAAAACAATAACCGTCATCAAACAGGACAAAATGACAGACAACAGAAACAGAAAAAGAATAAATAAACTTGATTTTTCTCATTCAACAATATACTATGAACATTTTTCCTTGTCAACAAATATGGGTCTATATCTCGTATTTAAAACTGAAAAAATAAAAAGTCTCTGGACCTTTGGGCAAAACGTATACATTACCCTTTATTATGAATGAACTGTGCTCCCCCTACCTCCAGTTCATACATTAAAGCCCTAACTCCCAGTGTACTATAATTGGAAATAGGGCCTTTCAAGAGGTCATCACGGTTACCTGAGGTCATAGGGGTGGGGCCCTAATTTGACAGGACTGGAGGAAGGTCTTCTAAGAAAAGGAAGAGACACCAGAAATCAGTCTCTCTCTCCTATTCTCTCCCCACTCTACGCTCACACAGGGGAAAGGCATGTGAGGACCCAGCAGGAAAGGTGACCACATACAAGCCAGGAAGAGGGCTGCGCCAGGAGCCAACCCCGACGGCACCTCGACCTTGGACTTCTAACCTCCAGAACTGTGAGAAAACAACGAACTGTCTGCTGTTTACGCCACCCAACCTGTGGTATAAACAAAATTACAGCAGCCGAGTAGACTAATACACCCCTACGACAGGGAAAGTACAATCAGCCTCAGCCTTCAACACGGCTACATTTAACACTAGGACACATAGGGCCACACTTAGAGTCTTCAAGGGAAGAAGGTACGACCCAAGAATTCTATATCTGGCCACAGTGTCAATCAAGTATGTTACAAAATCAAAATATCTAATATTTGAGATGATGGATATGCTAATTACCCTGATCTGATAACCACACATTATATGTATCAAAACTTCACTCTGTACCCCATAAATATGCACATTATGTGTCAATTTAAAAAAAAACAATAAAATAAAATACTAAGGAGAAAAAATATATATCCTTAAACATACAAGAACTTGGAAAATTTCATTCCCATGAGCCAAAATGTATGGGTTCATGAACTATTAGAGGATAAACTTTATCCACTCAAGAAGAATGCAGAAAGTCCAGCAAAAGACTTACAGTGAGCAATGAAGCCATTTAAGATGTAGGAATAAAGACTTTTCTTTGGCCGGGCACGGTGGCTCATGCCTGTAATCCCAGCACTTTGGGAGGCCGAGGCGGGCGGATCACCTGAGGTCAGGAGTTTGAGACCAGCCTGACCAACATGGTGAAACCCCATCTCTACTAAAAATACAAAAATTAGCCAGGCATGGTGGTGTGCACCTGTAGTCCCAGCTACTTGGGTGGCTGAGGCAGGAGAATTGCTTGAACGTGGGAGGCGGAGGTTGCAGTGAGCTGAGATCGCACCACTGCATTCCAGCCTGGGCGATGGAGTAAGACTCCGTCTCAAAAAAAAAAAAAAAAAAAAAAAAAAAAAGACTTTTATTTTCTGGGAATTAAGAACAGAATGTAAATGTTATAAATTTTAATGGAAAAAAATGTTATCAAGTTGAGCAGTGCACAAGGAAAGAAGGAGAGAGTGTAAAGACACTTGCCTCTTACAGTGAAATCAAAAGATATTATTTAAAACTGATAAAGTATCAGAGGCATTAGTAAACATAAAGTTATAAATGTTAACACTGGAATAAGTTTAGTGACATCATTAATCAAAAGCAGGTGGTGGAGAGAAGGAAGGGGAGGCAAGAACATGTGGCAATACCAACCTGGTCACTGATTACAGCAGGAAGGAGATAGTTACCCCTAAACAAATACAGGGTAAATATATCAAATTATACTAAAATATGCAAACATGAGTCCTTTTAATTATTACCAAGAACACACACCCAATAAAAAGCAAAGAGAAAAACAAGTCTTCAGTTAAAAAATACTAATACATAAATAAAATACATTAAAAACATGAAGCATAACATTTTTAAAAAATAGTTAAATTAAGACCAAACGTATCTGTCACACAGTAGCATGCCATACCAGTCCGATTAAGAGATGTGAAGTCAAACTGACTGGGATCAAATCCCAGCCTTCCACTTTACTAGGCTTGGTAAGCTATTTCCTCTCTCCCTGAGTCTCCTCATGGGTAAAGTGCAGGTAATTAGTACCCCACTCAGAGAGTTGGAAAGATTAAAGGCAGTCTAAATAATGTGCTTAGAGCAGTACTGGATACACAGATGTGTTCAATGGAAGTGAGTTGCTATTACTAAAATTATCAGCAAATACAAATGGGAAATTCAACTACTAAAAGTCTCTCAGTTAAAAACAAAAACAAAATCAAATTACATTCTGAGGTTAAGAGACCCAACTAAAACAAAGTAGCTTGGAAAGGTAAAAAGTCAACATTGTCTGTATCAGAAGATCAGAAACAACCTAAATACCCATCACTAAACACTTTGGAACAATTTAAAAAAATGAACTCTATGAAGAAACAATCTCTATGATGAATTGTTAAGTGAAAAAGAGGTGTCTCCATTCCGTATACATTTTTAAATATCCTTCTGCTTCAACAATTTGTAATGAAAACTTTTTTTTTTTTTTTTTTGAGACAGCGTCTCACTCTGTCAACCAGGCTCAAGTGCAGTAGCCCAATCTCGGATCTCTGGGAGACTCCACCTCCCAGAATTCAAGCAATTCTCCTGCCTCTGCCTCCAGAGTAGCTGGGATTACAGGCACATGCCATCACGCTCAGTTAAGTTTTGTATTTTTAGTAGAGACAGGGTTTCACGATGTTGGCCAGGCTGGTCTCGAACTCCTGACCTCAAGTGATCCACCACTTCGGCCTCCCAAAGGCTGGGATTACAAGGCGTGAGCCACCATGCCAGGCCAAAAACTATTTTTAAAAAACAAGGTGTGGTAGCCGGGTGTGTGCCTGTAGTCCCAGCTACTCAGGAGGCTGAGGCAGGAGGATCACTCCAGCCCAGGAGGTCGAGGCTGTAGTGGCTGTATGACTGCACCTGTGAATAGTCACTGCACTCCAGCTTGGACAACATAGAGACCCCCTCTCAAAAAACAACAACAAAAAAAAAAAAAAAAAAAACAGGCTGGGTGCTGTGGCTCACACCTGTAATCCCAGCACTTTGGGAGGCAGGGGCAGGTGGATCACCTGAGGTCAGGAGTTCAAGACCAGCCTGGCCAACATGGGGAAACCCCATCTCTGCTAAAAATACAAAAATTAGCTGGGCGTGGTGGTGCACGCCTGTAATCCCAGCCAGTCGGGTGGCTGAGGCAGCAGAATTGCTTAAACCTGGGAGGCAGAGGTTACAGTGAGCTGAGGTGGTGCCACTGTACTCCAGCCTGGGCAACAAGAGTTAACTCCATCTCAAAAACAAAAAACAAGGTGGAGGGAGAGGGGAAATAATGGGGACTCGTTCAATGAGTACGGAGTTTCAGTTTTGCAAGATGGAAAAGTTCTAGAATCTCTTACACAACAGTGTGAATATAGTTAACATTACAAAATTGTACAGTTAAAAATGGCTAATAGGGTACAAATAGTATTAGGGTTTTTTTTACAATTTAAACCAAAAAAAAAAGTTTAATTCAAAAATCCAAGGTGTGCAACAGTATGCATATTGTGTTACCATTTGTGTAAAATAAAACTGTGTGCTAGCTGGGCGCAGTGGCTCACACCTATAATCCCAACACTTTAGGAGGCTGAGGTGGGCGGATCATGAGGTCAGGAGTTTGAGACCAGCCTGACCAACACAGTGAAACCCCGTCTCTACTAAATATACAAAAATTAGCCAGGCGTGGTGGCACATACCTGTAGTCCTAGCTACTCAGGAGGCTTGAGGCAGGGGAATTGCTTGAACCCGGGAGGCGGAGGTTGCGGTGAGCTGAGATCGTGCCACTGCACTCCAGCCTGGGCTACAGAGCAAGACTCCGTCTCAAAAAAAAACAAAAAAAAAAAAGAAAAAACAAAAACAAGTGTGTGCTAACCCATATGCCTACACACAATCACCCCTGGAACATGAACAATCAGCTGGCTAAGAACGGGTAAGGGCGGCTTCCTCTAGGCAGGAAAGAGGCGAGGGGGGCACGCTCCCTAGAAATCTTCCAGCACCTTTTCAGTTCTGCACTGTGTGTGCATCACTTCTTCAAACAACAAGCAAGCAAATCTACCTACCAACTAGCCTGGCACTTTAAACTCTGGCACAGCAGCTGGTGAAAAGTTCAAACACACTGCCCCAAGTAAGTTTTAGTCACTGTAATTAGAATCCATCAATTCCTGGATGGG
This sequence comes from Homo sapiens, assembly GCF_000001405.40. Taxonomy (NCBI): domain Eukaryota; kingdom Metazoa; phylum Chordata; class Mammalia; order Primates; family Hominidae; genus Homo; species Homo sapiens. The sequence continues at coordinate 152,809,211 of NC_000007.14, read as the reverse complement.
AGAGAGGAAGCCATCTCAAAATGTGGAAGGGAGAATAATGAAGTCATACTCAAACACAGGCTGCAAATAGGGAACCTAAAAAGCACTCCACAACATGGTATTTATTTCAATGCGCCTACTCGGGCTGAGGAGATTAAATCTGCTAATAGCAGTGAAGTGCCCAGAACACAGTTAGAAGTATAAATGTTAGCGATTACTACTTTAGATTTCCTTCATTTAAAGCACATGAGTAAGAGATGCAGATTCCAATAGTAGTGTGTACAATCTCTCTCTTAAGCTACCTCCTGTCGATCTGAAAAGTGGGCCTAATAACATCACCTATCTCAGAGGGTTGTTGGTGGCATTAAAAAATGAGTTAATACTTGTAAACACTTAGAATGGGGCTGGGCACATAGAAGTACTCAATAAACAGCCATAATAGCCAATATTGTATCTCATCCCAGAAGAAATAACATATTAACTAAAGAAACCTATGTTTCTCATCTTGAATAGGAACCCAAGCATAATTATAACTGAAATAAACAAAATATTTAAACTGAGTAGAGGTGGGGAAGTATCAGGAGAGAAAGGTTAAGAAGGTATGAAGATTTCTGAGTAGAGCTGGGGAAGGTTTCTTGCCTCCCAGCAAAGAGCTGCCTATTTAACCTGAAGCAAAAACAGACCTGTAGGAAGACATCACCAACAAGAATCAGATTAACCCTGGCTCCCTGCATTCTCTCTGGGTCTAAGTTCAGTGTGAAATGATGATACAAATAAATCCCAGATGGATGAAGATTAAGTACAAACATCAAAGGAAAATGGGTTTTACCAACATACAAATTTAAAGTTATGGATGTCCAAATGAAATAACCAAAAGAGAAAGGCAAAAAATTAACTGAGTAAAACTAACCTGCTGCAAATATAACAACAAAAGAAGCTTTCTATCTTAATTATATGAAAGCTTCCAGAGAATAAGCAGAATGTGGTATCTATGTACAATGGAATATTATTCAGCCTTAAAAAGAAAGGAATCCTGGCACATGCTTCAACATGGATGAAGCTTGAAGACGCTAAGTGAAGTAAGCTGGTCACAAAAGGACAAATACTATATGATTCCATTTATATGAGGGCCCTAGAGTCATCAAATGTATAGAGACAGAAAGTAAAATGGGCATTCCAGGGGCAGGTAAAGGAGTAAAGAGAATTCGTGTTCAACGGGGACAGAGTTTTAGTTTGGGAAGATGAAAAGGCTTCTGGAGACAGACGGTGGCAATGGTTTGTGAATGTGCCTAATGCCACCAAGCTGCACATTCAAAAATGGTTCAAATGATAAATTCTGTTATGTGTATTTTAGAATAAAAAAAAGTTAAGTAAAAACAAAGTTCATAGAAATCACAGCAACAAGAAAAGCAATAAAACAACGATACGTAAAAGAGCACAGGGCATGAACAGACAGCTCGCAAAAGAGGAAATACAACTAACTAATGTGGAAAAATGTATAAGGTCAAAGTTATCAAAAATGCAAATGTAAAGCATATGGCAAATTTTAATCCATTAAATGATCAAAAATAATATTAATGCTGACAAGAGTACAAAGAAAGCAAGCCTCTTGCGCGGTGCTGACAGCAGTCTGAAATGGCACACTGTGCAGAGACTAATAAATTACTAACACTGCTGAACTCCATAATCAAACACTGCTAGTTCTTTTTAAGTAAAAAAGACTCGAAATACAGGAAAAACTGTATGCACAAAGATTACATTATTTCTTATAAAACCAAGAAAATGACTAAAAATAGTGGAACTGCTAAGCAGGAAATACCTACTAGACAGATTATCATATAGCTGTTAAAATAAGGGTTATGAAAACTGTAAGGAAATGAGGAGTATAATATTGGGTGTAAAATCATTTTAAAAATGGGTAAAAAGATTAAATGAAAATATACTAAATGTCAACAGTACCTATGTTAATGTGATAAGACTATAAAAAGTCCCATAGATATCTTCCAAATTTTCTATACTTACAATTCTACTGTAGTGAAGGGGGAAATGATCTCTATGTGAAGTGTTAAACTCCGAGTTATGGCTGTGGGGCAAGATCACACAAACTCCTCATCTAACTTCCCAATTTCCTAATGTATTTTATCCACAGACAGACTTACGGCAGCAAGATGGCAATGCCAAGCAGGAGATGCAGCACATCTTGCCACAGCTTCCTCCTGGCCAGAGGCTCCCTAACATGGGTGACACTCTCCACATAGGTAAAATCCAGCCAGAGTTGTGAAAGCAGCTGAATCTCTCCCTTGCTACTGTCTTCATGCCTTTGAGTGACACCACTATGACAGGCATTGTGAGTTGCTCTTACCAACACTGCAAGTTTGTGACTGACAGACCACTGATCTATGATGGGAAATGGCAACAGGCCCAGAAAAAAGCATTTCCCAGACTTCCTTGTGGACAGGGATGACTAAGTAAGTAAGTTCAGGCCAGTAAGACACAAAAGCTGGAGTATGGTTGCCAGGAAAGCTCCTTACAAAGCTGAGGTAGACTCAAGTAGTAGACTTGCCTCCTGCCCTTAACACCCTCCTCCTTCCTGGAACACAGAGGTGATAGCTGGAGGTGCAGTAATCAACTGGTGATCATGAGGCATCCTTAGAATGAAAGCCATATATTCAAGACACTAGAGTAGAGAGATTGTTAGCCACACCAGAGAGCTGCCATATCAGCACTGGACTCTACTGCAAATTTATTTAAGAAAAATAAAGCCTTAACTTTTTTAAACTACTGCTTTTATACTTCTATTACTTGCTGCCAAAAACACTTCACCGTCTTTGAAGAATTAAAATCTATGTATTTCCATTTAAGGGAACATTTACAATATAATGATGTTCTCCTGGTTCTTGAATCAAAATCGACGTTATTCAGGCCACATCCTTATGGGTTCTGAGGACCACAATCACAAACCCTCCATCTTCCTCAACCTCCCATTTCATCTCTATCCACCACTATTGATGTTATAATTATTCCTTTAGGAGACAAATGTATTATTCTCAAACTATTATTTATAACAAGATCTAAATTGGAGACGTCCAGTTTTTCTGGGTTTTTTTCTCTCTTTAAGACTAGTCAAGTGCAGCAGTGAGAAGAAGAGAAAGAGAATAATCTGGTTTTAAATATAGAAGCAGATGATCAAAGCATCAATGAATGCAAGCTACATAAACATTTTTATTCATAACAATGGTAAAATTATCACCTGGTATTGATTTAAAAATGAATAATGACTATCATAAAACCAACCCATATTTCTGGATAAAGACAGAAAATTGAACACATGTATCTAATATTACTCCACCTCCATGCCCCTCTAAAACTACAGTAAAGAAACATTTTTAAAAATACAAATCCTCAAGGAAGCGAGATAGGAGAGGAGGCGACAACATACTGGAAGCTGGAAAGTACGTGCAGGAGGTGACTTAGCAAATCCAAGAAAGCTGACCTCTACACTGGCTAGGTCTACACTGGCTAGGTCTACACTGGTTAGTGAAGTGCACAAGGCAGGTCTAACCATTCTCAAGAATTCAGGAAGGAAACTAGGACATAACGCAATTGTGATTCAGATGTAGGGCACTGCTATGGCTAGCATTTTTTTATTTCACCAGGTTCATGAGGAAAATGATTTCACAGAGCACTAACTTTACCTAGAGATTTCAAGATAATCATGTATTCGTAGGTTCATCTCTAAAATACCATGGATGGTACGTTTTATTTTTAGTAATCAGAGTTAATTTTCCATCAACTATCAACACGTGAATGCTACTGACTCCTACATCAACACCTGCTGCTTGGAGCTGGCTGCTCCTCGGCTTCTTTACCTGTGTAGCCCAGTCAGACGCTTCGACCTCAGCATGTACAAAACCAAACTCTCCTTCTTCCTCCTCCCTCCCTCCCTCAAGTGAGTTTCTTCTCATGTTTCCCATCTTAACCAATCACATTATCATCCATGCACTGCCCCATCTCAAAATCTGAGTCATCCTAGATTTCTCTCTTAACTGCTACCAATTCTCATCACTAAGACCCATCAATTCTACCTCCTGTATATCTCTGCTAACTATATGTAACTTACCCCAACCAACTGTACATGCTCCAAAAACACAACAGCATACAAAAGCTAGTGAGGGTACAAGCCAGAACAATGAGGCCAAATATGAGAGCAGGCGAAATAACTCCATGAGTGATACAATGTCTGCCCGGGCTCCTTAATGAGTACTGGCTCTGGAAGCCTGATTGCTCAATACAATGTCTGCCCGGGCTCCTTAATGAGTACTGGCTCTGGGAGTTTGATTGTTCTCAGGCGGTCTCAGCTTCAACATACTGGGACTGGGAGCAAAGTGCTGGACTGAGGGCAACCTAACAAACAATGCGTGCTTCCACACACCATACTGTACTCCTAAATGTAAGTCAACCACCCCAGCTGGTGCAGAAGAAAGTTCCTCCACGCTGAGGGAAAATCCATATTCTCCCACTGACTCAGAGCTGTATAAACTGGCCCTTCCTGAAGGATTTTCATGGGTGGTTTTGACTATACATATCTCCTTACATAATTTTAAGAACCTCGCAAATGACAGAACTCCCCTCCACCCACTCCTGCCATTCTCACCCTACGCCCTCCTCGGAGGCACCTGTCACCTCACATGGGGTCATCTTCAAGACTCTGTGTGCCAGAGGTGTCTGCCCACAAAGTCTCCCTAAAACACAAAACTGGCCACGTGGCTCTCACTGTCTACACTGCGCAAAGGCTGCCTGACCTCCTCTCTCCACACTCCCCCGCTCTCGTCACCCTAACCAAGTCAGGTCCTCAGAATCACCACGCCCTCTCATTGCTGGTCGTCTGCATGTGCTGCTTGTTTGCTCTTGCAGGATTTATATTCAAAAAGTTTGCAAATCCCTTCCGAAGTTCTAATTCAGTTTCCACTCAAGAGCACTGCATCTCTTTGACATCTCTGAGTGCGTTCTGAGCTCTGGGCAATGCAATATTGGGGAAGAGTGGAGTTCCCAGGTGCTCAGTCCACATAACCAGTGTAAGCTGAGTCTCTGCACCTCCTTGAAAACAGTCAGTGGCAAGGAGCTCATTCTCTCTGCATGTTCAGATGACTGGGCACGGCCATCAGAAAGGATAATTCTGTGAGCTCCTGTGGGGTCCATCATTTGGGCCTCTCAAGACTCTCTTTAAGTCTTCAATTCACTTTGATGGCTTGGTCTTAAATCTTTCCACCTGGTTCACTCCCCTTTAACTATTCCATTAACATACGGTTAAGGACAAATACCTGAAGGAAATTTACCATTCTCATCACTTCCTCAACCACAACATGCAACAGAATGACTTGCAGAATTCAAAGCACAACACATGTAATACGATATTTTCTTATCTTTTTAATAATAAACCTGATTGTTTTTGAACATTCATTGCAGGTGCCCATTTTTAGCAAATGGCCTTTTCCATGTTCACACCAAACCCCTCCAATTCCATCCTGGCAAGTGGTTACATTTTACTATCTCATGTATGCCAGCTAAATCAGAAGAGTCCCCTTTAATAAAAATTCCTGTGAGCTGTGTGGTGGTCCATATTTGCTCCACATGCCTAAGATTAGATGTCCCTCTAAGTAAAGCAAGAACTCCTGGCATGGGAAGCTGAAGTAGACAGAAGGAAGCAGCTGGGCTCGGTGCCTGCTCCTAAAATCCTATCCAACAGGTAGTTTATGTGATATGCTACAGAAGGAAAAATGCCAAATCTGACAGGTGGGAATCTGTGATTTGTTTTGGCTGTAAAGACAAAGCCACTCACACACAGTCAGTTTCTTGGCTCCATTTGCTCCACATAAACAACTGTGGGCCGGGTATGGTGGCTCATGCCTATAATCCCAACGCTTTGGGAGGCTAAAGTGGGAGGATCACTTAAGCCCAGGAGTTTGAGGCCAGCTTGGACAACATAGCAAGACCCCATCTCCACAAAAAAATTTTTAAAAATTAGCCAGGCTAGTGGCTTCTACCTGTGGTCCGAGCTACTCAGGTGGTTGAGGTGGGAGGATCAACTGAGCCCAGAGTCCGAGGCTGCAGTGAGCTAGGATTGTGCCACAGAACTCCAACCTGGACAACAGAGCAAGATCCCATTTCTAGAAAAATAAAATACAGAGCAAAACAGTAAAATAAAATAAACCACTATGGATGTACAGAGAAAACAGAGTGGCCTGTGAAATGCAGTAGCCATACTTGGCAATTTCAGCTGTGAAGACACAGCCAGGGAAAAAAGATCAAAGACTGGCTTTAATATACATTAAATACATATATTCGTTATAGAGTTATTCCATATTTAATAGTTATTCCATTAACTATTAGCCTTATAGTTAAAATATTTCTTATACCAGATAATTCTTAAAAACACTTCATATCCTAACATCAGAAAGAATTTTATAATTGGATCTGGGACCATTTGACAACGTACTTGCATGAAAAAAAATCCAAACCTAAATTATGCAGGTTTAATACGCAGCTTACGTCACATGAAACTGCCCTCTATAAAGCAAGCATTCTGTACATATAATTAATTTTAACTTGATGAAAAGAGCATCTCACGGAAGAAAACATGTAATGTTGAGTAGAACCACTAGAGAACGAGGAGATATTTCTTCTCATTTATCTGTGATGTTTCATTTCATTTGAATGAAATCAGTTAAGTATATAATTAGGGCCCATAACTCAGTTCAGTTTTATTTTACAGTAACATTTAAACCCTAGAAAAAAACAACATCTTGACCTGGTTTCCTCTGCTATAAGTGGCAATAATTACAATCATCTTGCTATGTCTCAAGAAAACTAAAGTAGGCAGTTGGTTTATCCAAATCCATTCCTCCTTCTATTGTCCTTGCTTTTGGAGGCCTGTTTAGCTACTTACCCTCCTCTAGGGTCCAGAACATCAGACAGGTTCTCCTGGTCCCCACTCCAAGGAGAAAGTCTTCAAGAATCTAAACCAGTCACAGTAAATCCATTCCTATTGCTCTAACCAGGTTAGGCATAGGCAGATGGGGCAAATGTGCTGGGAAGGTTTCTGGGAAAGGGTCTCTAAATTCTTAAAAAGTGCAAGGGAAATCTTCTATCTCTGTATGGAAATGTCCAAAGAGGTGATCTAGGAATTTGGCAGCCACCCTGGACCCAGGGGGAACAAACAGAAGAGCTCCAGCTAGTGCCCTAGGCTGCATGTGCAATTCCATCGCTGAGCTGCTAAAACAACAGCCCTAGAGCTGCCTCACTTGGGCTTCCTGTTTGGTGAGCTAACAAGCCCTTTTTGTTCTGAACATTTTTATTGAGCTTTATTTTCAAAAAAGCAGCCTGATTCATGCACATATCTTTAGAAGAAATTTAAAACGCCCTAGAAAAGAATATCTTCAGTTTAAAATCTAAGCAATTTGGAATTTACAGGAATATATTCCTCTTAGTTCCAGTTACTCACCATTAAAAAATAATGGTCCTCAGGTTCAGCTCGAAGATATTTAAAAACCACTTGCTCCATGAACCTTTCCATAAGATCCCAGTCTTCAATGATTCCATGTCGTATCGGCCACTGGAGGAAGAGACACCAGAGTTGTCAAGCCTCAGTTCGCAACAATAAGAGCAACAGTTTAACAGTGGCACAGAAGAAACTGTGTTATTAAGAATAAAGGTATCCTTCTTATTGCAGTTTTTGTTAATTCTTGTAAAGAAACAACAGCATTTGGAAAAAAAAGATTAAGTTACATTATTGTTCATATTCTCCTCCACTCATTTCCACAAACAAAGAATCACCTTAACAATGACACGGAGGCAGGCCAGGCACAGTGGCTCACGCCTCTAATCCAACGCTTTGGGAGGCCAAGGCAGGAGGCTCACCCGAGCCCAGGAGTTCAAAACCAGCCAGGGCAACATAGCAAGACACTGTCTCTACAAAAAATTAAAAAATCAGCCAGGCTTGGTGGTGCGTGCCTGTAGTCCCACCTACTTGGGAAGTTGAGGTGAGAGGATTGCTTGAGCTCAGGAGGTCGAGGCTGCAGTGAGCCAAGACGGCATCACAGCACTCCAGCCTGGATGACAGAGTAAGACCTATCTCTAAAAAAACAACAACAAAAAATACAATGAGGAACCGATAGAAAACTGCAGCTAATTATCATACAATTGGATCTGGAGCTTTAAAAAAAAAAAGTCTGCTTAAATAACGTTAGTGTTTCTTTTTAATTAACCAATCTGCAATTTTCCCTCATCTGACAGGTTAGTCAACCTGTCAACAATTTTCCAGAGGAGGGGATCTTGCTTTCATGTGTGACCTGGTGTTTCCTGAGTCTATTCTGCATTCCAGGGATCTGTTAATTCCCTTAATTCTCCAATCAAAAATACCCCCATTCAAAACCAACCATCACCACCACCTCTATTCAAACATAAGAATTCAAACATAACACATTCTACAACTCGCAAATACAACTTCTAGATGACCATTTTGCATTACTCATCCTACTACTCTACACTTAGAGAAGCAAACACCTGTCGGAAATTTACCTTTGTAGCATATGTAGGTTTATCGATGGCTTCATCTCCTATGAAAAAGTCAAGGTCATCAACTCCCCTCAACACTCTCCTTTGAGCTTGGTCAACTACCTTTGCTGACTCTCTGATGGCAATACCTTAAAAAAAACACACACACACAGATTTCTATCACTATCCATATCTATTTAAATGATCAAAAGGGATAATATCCTTATATACACACAAGTAAATTTTCATTGTTAGGGCTCCATGTGGGGTGAAGGGTGCTCACAGAAAAGACAATGTCAATGAGTACATAAAATAATACAGAAGCAGGCTATTCTATTCTGGTATGATTTTCAGAATGGGACAAAGGAAATGAGCTGCTCTACTTTTATACTGACAGAAGGTCCATTGCAAAATTTCTCAGTTTTATCTGGAAAAATCCCTCAAGATAGTAAGTGAAATGCCTATACATCAGTAGGTTCCAAATTTAAAATACAATATAGAAGGGGACAAAATTCTGTACAATACAGAAAAGGAGAGTAAACTGAAAAATAATGTCTATAATAAGACTCTACATCACATAGCCTTAAAATGTACTTTTAGTCTTGTTACAGGAAGAAAAAAAACCGTTAAAATTTATCCCATTAAAAGGATAAATTAGAATGTTATTGGTTAATATCTGTAGCCAAAAAAAGTACCATAATCAAATAACTATTACATAAAAATTCCAAATATTAATGGCTTTATAATTCATTATTTTAATAAGATCTTAATCTTAAATATTTGGGAATATACTTAGCAGTAAATAATCATATCAATTCACTCCAGACAGCTAATGAAATGTGGAGGGCATCACAAAGATTCCATTTTCCATTGAAATTTCTAACTCCTGCTCACACTCTTGAGCTCTCCCATGAGCTATTTTCATTCATCAGGTCTCGACATCAACACCATCTCCTCACTTGAAGGCTTCCTTGACAACCTGCAGTTCTGCACACGTGTTTGATGCTTCCACTGGCCCTTTTATACCTGCATTAAGGCATTTTTCTGGATGAATTACAATTGTTTAAGATCAGTCTACCAAACTATAGATTCCTTGACATCAGATAACCCCCATCTTTAACTGTCTCTCCAGTGGGAGGCTCTGAAGTCAATAACTAATAATAATAATTAAAGTTTACATTTATTGAACACTCTGCTAAGTGTTTCCTTTTGCACACTATTTTATTACATCCTCACAATAGCTTATGAGACAGGTACTATTATCTGCATTTCACAGAAAGGGAAGCTTAACAATCTATCAAGGTCACACAGCTTCTAAGAGACAGACAGGATTTGCACCTAAGCAGGCCACTGGCTATCAGAACAGACATTAGAGAAATATTTGCTAAATTAACATTTTACTCCACTAAAATATTTATTGTGGGTTTGAAAAATGGTCAAACTATACCTAAATAATTCTAACATAAACCTAATTCCATAAATATACTAATGGCTTCTCACTGTCCTTAATGTATTTCTGATGAAAGTACGACTCTGTAGCTATACAAATGTAAATGCTAGATAAAATTTCTCTGAATCAAAATCTTTGTGACTTACTACCCAAAGTGAGGTACAGAGTCAGTACAGTCCTTATCAAAATACCAATGGCATCCTTCACAGAAACAGAAAAAATAATCCTAAGTTCACATGGAACCACAAGAGACCCCAAACAGTCAAGGGAATCTTAAGCAAAAAGAAGAAAGCTGGAGGGATCGCACTACCTGACTTCAAAGTACACTATAAAGCTACAGTAATCAAAACAGCATGGTACTGGTATAAAAACAGACATATAAACCAGTGGAACAAAGAGCCCAGAAATGAATCCATGTATTTACACTCAACTGATTTTACACAACGGGCAAAGTGTAAATGTTACTGGAGAAACTGGATATCCACATGCAGAAGAATGAAAATGAATGCTTATCTCTCAACCATATACAAAAATTAACTCAAAATGGATTAAAGACTTACTTCAATGTAAGACCTGAAACTGTGAAACTATTAGAAGAAAACGGTAAAATGCTTTATGACATTGGTCTGGGCAAGGATTTTTTTGGACAAGACCTCAAGAGCACAGGTAACAAAAATAGATAACTGGGATTACATCAAACTAAAAATCTTCTGCACAGCAAAGAAAACAATCAACGGAGTGAAGAGACAATCTATAGAATGGGAGAAACTATTTGCAAACTATCTACCTGACAAAAGATTAATAATCAAAATATATAAAGAACTCAAACAGCAATAAAAAAACAAATAACCCAAGTGAAAAATGAGCAAGAGACCTGAATGGACATTTCTCAAAAGAAGACATACAAATGGCCAACAGGTATATGAAAAAATGCTCAACATCACTAATCATTGGGGAAATGCAAATCAAACCCACAATATCAATCAACTCACCCCACTGAGAATGGCAATTATCAAAAAAGCAAAAGATAGTAAGTGTTGGTGATGATGTGACAAAAAGAGAACCTTTATACACTATAGGTGGGAATGCAAATCAGTAGAGCCATTATGGAAAACAGTATAGAGGCTCCTCAAACAATTAAAAATAGAACTACCATACGATCCAACAATCCCACTACTGGGCATATATCCAAAGGAAATGAAATCAGTATGTTAAAGAGCTATCTGCACTCCCATGTTTACTGTAGCACTATTCACAATAACCAAGATCTGGAATCAACCTACGTGTCCATTAACGGGTGAACAGATAAAGAAAATGTGGCTTTATAAACAGTGGAATACTATTCAGCCATTTAAAAAAAAAAGGAAATTCTGCCATCTGCCCACAACATGGATGAACCTCGAGGGCACTATGTTAAGTAAAATAAGCCAGGCACAGAAAGACAAATATCACATGGTCTCATTCATATGCAGGATCTTAAAAAGTTGATCTCATAGAGGTAGGCTATAGAATGGTGGTTACAGGGGGCTGAGGCTGTTCGGGGATGGGAAGGACAAGGAGATGTTGGTCAAAAAATACGTAACTACAGTTAGATAGGAGAAATAAATTACAAGAGATCTAGCATACAACGACGTGACAACAGTTAATGACGATATATTGCATTCTTAAAAAATGTAGAGTACGTGTTATGTGCTCTCACCACAAAAATGATGACTATATGAAGTAATGCATTTGTTAATTAGCTAGATTTAACCATTCACAATGTATATATACTTCAAAACATCATATTATACACGATAAAAACACACAATGTTATCTGTCAATTTAAAAAATTAAAATCAGAGCCAGCTGTGGTGGCTCATGGCTCATGCACGTAATCCCAGAGACTCAGGAGGCTAAGGCAGGAGGATAGCTTGAGCTCAGGAGTTTCAGAACAGCCTGGGCAACATAGCAAGACCCCATCTCTAAAAAAGCTAAAAAATTAGCCAGGCACAATGGCACACATGCCTGTAGTCCTAGCTACTTGAAAGGATCACTTGAGCCCAGGAGGTTGAGGCTGCAATGAGCTATGATAGCCCCACTGCACTCCAGCCTGTGCAACAGAGTGAGACCCTATATCAAAAAAGTTTAAATTTTTAAAAACTGTTTTTAATTAAAAAAATTTTTTAAATCCTTGTGACTGAATTTCAGGAGAGAGTAAATAATGTTTCTAGGCCGGGCACAGTGGCTCACACCTGTAATCCCAGCACTTTGGGTGGTCGAGACAGGCAAATTGCTTAAGTCTGGGAGTTTGAGATCAGTCTCGGCAACACGGTGAAAACCCGTCTCTACAAAAAAAAAAAAAAAAAAAAAAAAAAAAAAAAAAAAAACACAAAAACTAGCCGGGAGTCCCAACTACTTGGGAGCCTGAGACAAGGGGATTGGGAAATTGAGGCTGCAGTGAGCCATGATCACGCCACCACACTCCAGCCTGGGTAACAGAACAAGACCCAGTCACAAACAAAACAAACAAACAAAAAACAGTTTCTGATATGAACTAATTTCTTCAAACAGTCCAGCCAAGTTAATTTTTCTGCACAGCTACTTCATGAATGAGCACACAGACTCTGAAGTTATGAAAACCTAGGTTTGAGCACTTACTAGTTAGCTGACTTGAGGAAAGTTATTATTAACCCTCAGTGCTCTCTCCTCCAAAATGCATATACCACTACCTATCAGGGTGGTGAGTATTAAATGGAACAATGTTTACAAAGTGTTTAGCAGAGACTGTGGTAGAGAATAGTACTCAATAAACAATATTATCTATACCAAATTGGAGACCAAATTTGTGACTGGCGGAACTGAACAGGTACCCAGATACAACCATTCCAGAGAAGAACTGAGAAAAATATTATGTTTATCCAGCAATTCCACTTCTAGAATTTCATTCTAAAGAAATAATCATTGAGTAAATAAAAGTATATACACAACAACACTCTTTGTAGAACTAATTATAATAGCAACAAATTGAAGGAGGAAAGTTAACTGACCTGAAATCAGAGATCAGGTAAATAAATTATATCAAATCCTTAGAAAGAGCTGCTAAGGCCGGGCGCGGTGGCTCACGCCTGTTATCCCAGCACTTTAGGAGGTCGAGGCGGGTAGATCACCTGAGATCAGGAGTTCAAGACCAGCCTGACCAACATGGTGAAACCTCATCTCTACTTAAAAATACAAAAATTAGCCAGGCATGGGGGCGGGCGCCTATAATCCCAGCTACTTGGGAGGCTGAGGCAGGAGAATCACTTGAACTTGGGAGGCAGAGGTTGCAGTGAGCCGAGATCGCGCCACTGCACTCCAGCCTGGGTGACAGAGCAAGACACCGCCTCCAAAAAAAAAAAAAACAAGAGCTACTAAGTTGCCTTTCAGAATAACCACAGTATGACTCCACTTCAGACAGAGTTGCACGGGTGTGTTTAATGTAAATTCAGAAAAATAAGATGGCCAGACAAAAGATTAATACTGGTTAACCATGGATGGTAGAGCTACTGGTGACTTTTGCTTCTTCTACTGGATATATTGGTTTTTCAGCTATTAAAAAGAAGCTAAACAAACATAATAAAAGTAAAAGCTAATCTTTTGTTTGTGAGCTAAAGCATTTACCCTGTTACCTCTCAAAGTCATTTACCTTTAATGCCTCATTTCCAAATGAAAAGTTTTCAAGGTAAGTCAGGCTATAGAATTTTCTCAAACAGAGAGCTATTAAGCTAGCTAGAAATTTATATTAGAATTTGTTCCAAGACAAATTAATAAACATATACAATTATTTCTAAAAGTAGATTATCTGGAATCTCCAATTTACTACAAATGAAGAATAACAACACAGCTATAAGAGTGAATTTGAGGCCAGGAGCAGTGGCTCACGCCTGTAATCCCAGCACTGTGGGAGGCCAAGTTGGGCAGATCACCTGAGGTCAAGAATTCAAGACCACCCTGGCCAACATGGTGAAACCCCATCTGTTCTTAAAATAAAACAAAAAATACAAAAATTAGCTGGGTGTGGTGGCCCATGCCTGTAATCCCAGCTATTCAGGAGGCTGAGGCAGGAGAATTGCTTGAACTCAGGTGGCAGGGGTTGCAGTGAGCTGAGATCATGCCACTGCACTCCAGCCTGGGTGACAAAGTGAGACTCCATCTCAAAAAAAAAAAAAAAAGAGAGTGAAACTGAAGCCTTTTTCTCAGAAGGGCATCTTGAGGTAACAGGATAAAAAGGTGAAAAGAAAAAGACACAGGGCAGAAATCACTTTCCCCACCTCCTTTTCTCATTGCAACTCACTGCCACATTTAAAGTCTCAAAGATATCAAATTATAAACAAGTAAAGGACAGAACTTCAGCAGAACTGAAGAAAGCACGAGTGAAGTGGAAACACGGGCTGAAATGAGAAGTGAAGAGGACATTGGAGATCTTGGGCTGAACATGGGCTAGAAAAGTCTTGTGGGCCACGACGACTGAGGTGATCTGTAGAAATAGATAACATCCATCTCTGACCACACCATTCAATGGCACACTGACTGACACCACACAGAACCATCTGATGTACAAGTTTGGTATTCCAAAGGGCCACTGCCAATGTGCCAATACAAGTGACAGATCCTATCCTCTAGGCAAGATCAAACTTAATTGTGTGTGAATCCAGAATTAAACTGTCAAGTCAATATAAAAGATTGTAAAGATAGCCGGGCACAGTGGCTCACGCCTGTAATCCCAACACTGTGGGAGGCTGAGGTGGGCAGATCACAAGGTCAAGAGATCGAGACCATCCTGGCCAACATGATGAAACCACAACTCTACTAAAAATACAAAACTTAGCTGGGCATGGTGGTGCGCACCTGTAGTCCCAGCTACTCAGGAGGCTGAGACAGGAGAACTGCTTGAACCCAGGAGGTGGAGGTTGCAGTGAGCCGAGATCACGCCACTGCACTCCAGCCTGGCAACAGAGCAAGACTCTGTGTAAAAAATAATAATAATCAAAAAGAATAAAAATAAAAATAAATTAAAACACATATACACACACACAAAGTATACTTCTTTTAACAACTATAGAGGAAGCAACTGTATCCATGCAAGAGAATAAAAGTATATAGAGCTTATATTCCAAATATTTTGTCTATACCTATGGAACAAGATGTGGCCCAAACAGTTCTTATGAACACAATGGAGAAATCTGTCTAAATAATCTATGTCACCCAAGCTATCTCTAGTACAGCACAACATACCACAGTCCCCACTTCCACCCCAGCCCAGCAGTAACATGGAGCTCCTCCCCAAGTGAGTGTCAACAAAGGCCAAAAGGAGAACCTCAACTTTGACCCCCACACTGGCAATAATGAAGTGGTATCCCCATTCCCCTGCTGGAGTAGTGTCAGAAAAGACTTGCTAAAACACAAAATTAAAATAAGAACCTCATAACATAATACCCAAAGTATCTAGGTTTCCACTTTAAAACTCTCACCATGGCAAAAACCAGTAACATCTCAACTGAAAAGAGAAAAGACAATGAATAGACAATGCCACCGAGATAACACAGACATTATAATTATCAAACAAGGATTTTAGGAGCCATCACAAAATGCCTCAATGAGCAATCTCAAATACTCTTGACTCTTGAAACAAATGGAAAATAAAAGGAAGTCTCAGCAAGCAAATACAAAGCCACAGCAAAGAAACAAGATATAAAGACAAAACCATATGGAAATTCTAGAATTAAAAATCACAATAACTGAAATAAAAATCTTAAGAGATGGCCTCAACAGAAGAAAAGGACAGAGGAAAGAAACACTGAACTTGAAGACAGAATAACAGACATTACCCAGTCCAAACAAAAGAGAGAAAATAGACTGGAAGAAGTAAAAAAAAAAAAACAGAGCCCAGAGCCTCAGGGACATCTGGGATATATAAGAAAAGATTTAGCATTTGTGGATTACAATTCCCAGAAGGAAAAGAGAAAGAAGGCAGGACCAGAAGGTATGCAAAGAAACAATGGCTAAACTGCCAAATTTGGCAAGAAAAAAAAAAGGGAAGAGAAAAAGAAATAAACTAATAGATTCAATACTGAACAAACCCCAAATAAGTTAACCCGAAACAAAACAAAACAAAAAAAATCCATTCCAAAACACATTATACTCAAACTTCTAAAAACTAAAGACCAAAAAAAAAAAAAAAAAAAATTCAGCTTCTAAGGACATTTCTCATCAGAAATCTTGACACATACACACCAAAAAAAAAGGTACCACAACATTTTTGTGCTGAAAGAACTGTCCATCCAGAATTCTATGTTCAGCAAAAATATCCCGAGAATAGAGCAAATCAAGACTTTCCGTTGAAATAAAACTAACACAATTTGTCAACAGCACACCTACTTCAAAAGAATGGCTTGGGATGTTCAGGCAGTCCATTATTTTTGTTGTTGTTGTTTTTGTTTTTGTTTTTTTGGTTTGTTTTTGAGATGGAGTATCGCTCTGTCACCCAGGCTGGAGTGCAGTGGCGCAATCTCAGCTCACTGCAACCTCCACCTCCCAGGTTCAAGCAATTCTCCTGCCTCAGCCTCCCGAAATAGCTGGTACTACAGGTGCACGCCACCACACCCAGCTAATTTTTGTATTTTTAGTAGAGACAGGGTTTCACCATGTTGGCCAGGATGGTCTCAATTCTTGACCTCATGACCCGCCTGCCTCTGCCTCCCAAAGTGCTGGGATTACAGGCATAAGCCACCGTGCCCGGCCTATGTTTCTTTAATTAAAAAAAAATAAATAAATATTAAAAAGAATGGCTAAAGGAAGTTCTCTAAAGAGAAAAGAAATGATAAAAGAAGGAATTTGAGTACATCAAGAAAAAAGAAAGAACAATGGAAAGAGCAAAAATATGGATCATAATTATTTTCCTTTTCCTCTTGCGTTTTCTAAATTATGTCTGGCAGTTGAAGCAAAAATTGTAACTGATGTGAATCTCATGAGATTCAATGTATATCGAGGAAAGATTTAAGACAATTATATTAGAAATGGGGGGCCAGGCACAGTGGCTCACACCTGTAATCCCAGCACTTTGGAAGGCCGAGGCAGGTGGATCACTTGAGGAGTTTGAGACCAGCCTGGCCAACATGGTGAAAACCCATCTCTACTAAAAATACAAAAATTAGCCGGGCGTGGTGGTGGGCACCTGTAATCCCAGCTACTCAGGAGGCTGAGGCAGGAGAATTGCTTGAACCCAGGAGGCTGAGGTCACATTAAGCTGAGATCACACCACTGCACTCCAGCCTGGGCAACAAAGCGAGATTCTGTCCCAAAAAAAGGCACACACTGTATGAGTAGTAGCATTACTGCTGAGTAGTATTTAGTGTATGATGTACTACTGTCAGTTTAAATATTAATCTATTGAAGAACATATATTATGGAGATGATAAAATTATAGAGATGAAAACAGAGTAGTGGTTAGGAACAGTAGAGGGAGAGGAGTAAGTGTAATTATATAGGAATAGCA